>NT_167247.2:2953414-3148913 GCF_000001405.40 Homo sapiens | reverse complement strand
GGCCGGCCAGGGAGGAAGTCGGAATGAAGGAAACCCCGCCCCTTTCCCGGCTTCCTCCTCCCCTCTACTCTACCCAGCTTGCGCTCCCCAGCCGCAAGTCGGCCGCGCTTTGCCCGTCAGCGCTTGGAGCTTTCTGCGTCGCTTCCCGCTGCGCCTGCGCGGTCCCGCCTCGCCCCACGCGCGGGCTCGCGCTTCGGTTTCCCCAGACCTGCTCGCAGCACCCTGCTGTCTTCCCGGTCCGGCCCGCTGCCCGCGGCGCCAGCACCATGGTGGGTACCGTGACGTCAAAAGGGGGCGCCCTCGGGGACCTCGCATGGTTGGGGCGGGGGATCTGGCCTTTGTACCCCTAGGCTGGAGTTAGGTCCGGAGTTTTTATCTTCATCTTTAGTACTGTACTGTTTCTCAGGTTCATTGAGGAGGCACTGAGAACAAATGGGATATTTTTTCCATGATGAGGGAAAAAACCCCAACCCTGAGAGAGATTCAGTGAGGATAGCGGGAGACGGAAAAGTTAGACCTCAGAGCACTTCTCTGCCAGGCAAGCTTCGGCAGGGTGCGGGTGGGATATTTTCTACAATTCATTGAAAGGAGTGGGCAGGTACCCGAGAAAGGTGGTCGACTGAGAGAGCACAGTGGGGAGGCCGACGTATGCAGGGCAGAGTCTCTCTGGGACTTTAAGTGATGGGCTCAGTGCAGTGTGCAGAATAATTTGGGCTCCAGCCTTTCAGCTCTGTCAACCAATTATTCTTTCCTGTGAAATTTTGAGAACTGTCAGGGATGCAGTGGGGTTCACAATACCAGTATTTGGTAATACTGTCAAAGGACACTCCTCCCTACCATGCTCCTTCCCACATGATGGTTTTCCCCCTCTCTCCCAATAGCTCTTCTATTCTTTTTTCAAGTCCCTTGTGGGCAAGGATGTGGTCGTGGAACTAAAGAATGACCTGAGGTAGGTACCTGTTCCAACAAGTCTGTTGGGGGTGGGTGTGCCCAGGGCCCTGGAACCTCTTTAATTTGAGAAATATTTCAGGGCTAGGCGAGGTGGAAGATGTACAGAAGAAATAAATGGATAGGGTGCAGTGGCTCAAGCCTGTAATCCCAGCACTTTGGGAGGCTGAGGAAGGAGGAAAGCTTGAGCCCAGGAGTTTGAGGCTGCAGTGAGCAGTGATTACTCCATTGCACTCTAGCCCAGGCAATAGAGCAAGACCCCATCTCTAAGAAAAATTTTAAAATTTAGCAATAAATAAATGCCTTGTGCCTTAAATTTACAGATAAGCTTAGAGATTGTATCGTGTATTGGAAAACAATACAAAGCAATATATAGTTTAAAGAGTAAATACAGGTCAGGCGCAGTGGCTCACGGGCTGGACGTGTGGCTCATGCCTGTAATCCCAGCACTTTGGGAGGCCAAGGTGGGCGAATCACGAGGTCAGGAGTTCAAGACCAGCCCGGTCAAGATGGTGAAACCCTGTCTCTACTAAAAATACAAAAATTAGCCGGGCACGGTGGCTGGTGCCTGTAATCCCAGCTACTCGGGAGGGTGAGGCAGGAGAATCGCTTGAACCTGGGCGGCAGAGGTTGCAGTGAGCTGAGATCACACTGCTGCACTCCAGCTGGGTGACAGAGTGAGATTCTGTCTCAAAAAAAAAAAAAAAGTAAGTACTAGGCTGGCCATGGTGGCTCACACCTGTAATCTCAGCACTTTGGGAGGCTGAGGCAGGAGGATCACTTGAGTCCAGGATGTCGAGACTAGTCTGGGCAACATAGTGATGAGACCTCTATTTCTATAAAAAATTAGCCAGGTGTAGTGTACATGCCTGTAGTCTCAGCTATTCGGGAGGCTGAGGTGGGAGGATCACTTGAACCCAGGAGGTCAAGGCTGCAGTGAGCCATGATTGTATCACTTTACTCCAGCCTGGTTGACAGAGGAAGACTCTGTCTCAAAAAAAGAACAGGCCAGGCCGGGCGCGGTGGCTCACGCCTGTAATCCCAGCACTTTGGGAGGCCGAGGCAGGCGGATCACAAGGTCAGGAGATTGAGATCATCCTGTTTAACATGGTGAAACCCTGTCTCTGCTAAAAATACAAAAAATTAGCCAGGCGTGGTGGCATGCTCCTGTAGTTCCAGCTACTTGGGAGTCTGAGGCAGGAGAATGGCGTGAACCTGGGAGGCGGAACTTGCAGTGAGCCAAGATGGTGCCACCGCACTCCAGCCTGGGTGACAGAGCAAGACTCCGTCTCAAAAAAAAAAAAAAAAAAAAAGAAAAAAAAGAACAGGCCATAGGCCGGGCACGATGGCTCATGCCTGTAATCCCAGCACTTTGGGAGGCTGAGGCGGGTGGATCACGAGGTCAAGAGAGCGAGAACAGCCTGGCCAACATGGTGAAACCATGTAGTGTATCTAATACCTAGCATAGGCCAGTTATATGATAGGTGCTTAAAGAAAGAAAAATAATATCCGAAGACGTATTGACTAACCACTATTCTGAATACATTTATTGATTGATTTCTCAAACACTGCTAAGTAATATATACTATTGCTGTTTTACACGAGGAAACTGAGGCTTAGATCAGCTATACCACTTGTTCAAGTCTACAAAACTAGTAAGTGACACAACTGAAATATGATTCTGTCCAGCTTTTTTTCTTTCTTTTTTTTTTTTTTTGAGATGGAGTTTCAGTCTGTCACCTAGGCTGGACTGCAATGGCGTAATCTCGGCTCACTGCAGCCTCTGCCTCCTGGGTTCAAGCAATTCTCTGCCTCAGCCTCCCTAGTAGCTGTGATTACAAGTGCCCACCACCATGCCCGGCTAAATTTTGTATTTTTAGTAGAGATGGAGTTTCACCATCTAGGCCAGGCTGGTCTTGAACTCTCGACCTTGTGATGCACCTGCCTCAGCCTCTCAAAGTGTTGGGATTACAGGCGTGAGCCACTGCGCCTAGTCCTACTTTCTTTCTTAAAATAATATTTATTTATTTAAAAATTAGAGACAGTGCCTCACTTTGTTGCTCAGGCTGGTTTCAAATTCTTTGAGTTCAAGCAGTCCTCTTGCTTCAGCTTCCCAAAGTGCTGGGGTTACGCGCATGAGCCAGCACACCTGGCCCTGTACTTATCTGTACAGTCCTTTAAATAATATGTACATTTAGGCCAGATGCGGTGGCTCATACCTGTAATCCCAGCACTTTGGGAAGTCGAGGCGGGTGGATGCCTGAGGTCACGAGTTTGAGACTAGCTTGGCCAACATGGTGAAACTCCATCTCTACTAAAAATACAAAAATTAGCCAGATGTTGTGTTGTGCGCCTGTAATCCTAGCTGCTCAGGAGCCTGAGGCTGGAGAATCACATGAACCCGGGAGGCGGACGTTGTAGTGAGCTGAGATCAGGCCACTGCACTCCAGCCTGGGCGACAGACTGAGACTCCATCTCAAAAAAAAAAAAAAAGTACATTTAAAATATTGATACCTGTTACCTCATTATCCTTTAGAAAGATGGGATCAATTGTATTCTCTTCCCAAAAGCGTCTTCCACATTTATTTTTTTGAGATGGGGGTCTCACTCTGTTGTCCAGGCTGTAGTGCAGTGGCACCACCATAGCTCACTCAGCCTCCTGAATAGCTGGGGCTATATGCCACCATGCCCAGCTAATTTTTTAATTATTTGGAGAGGCAGAGTCTCACTGTGTTGCCGAGGCTAGTCTGAAACTCTTGGGCTCAAGCAGTCCTGCCACCTTGGCCTCCCAAAGTGCTGGAATTACAGGTGTGTGCCACTGTGTCTGGCTGTCTTCCACATTTCTATGTGAGATAATTTTTTCATGGGTTACACGTTGACAGGGCAGGGAATGGTGAGGAGAGGGACTTAAGGGCCTTTGCGTTTTAGAACACAGGTTTCCATTTGTAGCACTGGCAATGCAAGTGATATTGATGTGTATAGATTGGGGCCACAGAGCAAGACAAGTACGGTAATCACTATCAGTCTTAGGCAATTTGGTGTGATGACTTGTTTTTGATTCTCCTCTTTTCTCCTTCCTGGGCCTTTTACATGGGAAGCCTAACTGTTGTGTTATAACCCTAGGCCCTAAAGTACCTTTATTTTTTTTATTTTATTTTGTTTTTGAGACAGAGTCTTGCCCTGTCGCCCAGGCTGGAGTGCAATGGCGTGATCTCGGCTCACCGCAACCTCTGCCTCCCGGGTTCAAGTGATTCTCCTGCCTCAGCCTCCCTGGTAGCTGGGATTACAGGCATGCGCCACAACGCCTGGCTCATTTTTTGTATCTTCAGTAGAGACAGGGTTTCACCATGTTGGCCAGGCTGGTCTCCCAACTCCTGACCTCGTGATCTGCCCACCCCAGCCTCCCAAAGTACTGGGATTACAAGTGTGAGCCACTGCACCCGGCCGTAGTAACATTTCTTTTCTTTTTCTTTTTTCTTTTTTTTATTGAGACGAGTCTCGCTCTGGTCGAGTCTACGCCAGGCTGGAGTGCAGTGGTGCTGTAACCTCCGACTCCCTGGTTCAAGTGATTATCCTGCCTCAGCCTCCCGAGTAGCTGGGATTATATGCATGCACCACCACGCCCAGCTAATTTTTGTATTTTTAGTAGAGAAGGGGTTTCACCACGTTGGCCAGGATGGTCTCAATCTCCTGACCTTGTGATCTGCCCACCTCGGCCTCCCAAAGTACTGTGATTACAGGTGTGAGCCACTGCGCCCAGCCTTCTTTTTTTTCTATTTATTTATTTATTTTTGTTTGAGATGGGGTCTCACTCTGTCACCCAGGTTGGAGTGCAGTGGCATGATCTCGGGTCACTGCAACCTCTGCTGCCTGGGTTCAAGTGATTCTCCTGCCTCAGTCTCCCAAGTAGCTGGGATTACAAGTGCCTGCCACCATACCTGGCTAATTTTTGTATTTTTAGTAGACATCGGGTTTCACCATCTTCGTCAGGCTGGTCTTGAACTCCTGACCTCGTGATCCACCTGCCTCGGCCTCCCAAAGTGCTGGGATTACAGACGTGAGCCACTGCACCCGGCCTTTTTATATTATTTTTAAAATTTTTCATAGAGACAGAGTCTCGGCCGTGTTGCCCAGGCTGGTCTTGAACTCCTGGACTCAAGTGATCCTCCCACCTCAGCCTCTCAAAGTGCAGTGACTACAGGTGTGAGCCAATATGTGTGTGGCTTTAAAGTGACTTTTCTGTTGGGATGAGAAAGAAGATCTTTCTCCTTTTTTTTCCTTGAGACAGGGTCTCACTCTGTTGCCCTGGCTGGAGTGCGGTGGCGCGATCTTGGCTCACTGCAACCTCTGCCTCCTGGGTTCAAGTGATTCTTCCACCTCAGCCTCCCGAATAGCTGGGATTACCGGTGCATGCCACCACTCCCAGCTAATTTTTTGTATTTTTAGTAGGGATGGGGTTTCACCATGTTGGCCAGGCTGGCCTCAAACTCCTGACCTCAAGTGATCCTCCTGCCTCAGCCTCCCAAAGTGCTGGGATCACAGGTGTGAGCCACCACGCCTGGCCAAAAGTTCTTTCTCTTATGTTTGTTGTCAGACCACTTTTGTGCTATGTATCTCCCCCTCCTTAAGGGACTTAATAAAATGACACCACTTTGTACAATTCCCAAATGTTATTTCACTGCTGGAGATGGTGGGGTGCTGTCAAATGTTTTTCAGCAGCTAGCAATATGGTGAGAACATTACTGAGGCAGTGGGTTTCAGATACTGGGTGTTTGTTTTTGTTTTTGTTATTAGGCAGAGACTCACCCTCTGTCTCAAAAAAAATAATGATTGCCTAGTACTAGTTCATTTAAATTAATTTCCTAGAGCATATTTAAGTGGGTCTTTTTTTTTTTTTTTTTTTTTTGAGACAGATCCTTACTCTGTCACCGAGGCTGGAATGCAGTGGCATGATCTTGGCTCACTGCAACCTCTACCTCCTGTGTTCAAATGATTCTCGTGCCTCAGCCTCCTGTATACCTGGGACTACAGGCATGCACCACACACAGCTAATTTTTGTATTTTTATATTTTATTTTTAAATTTTTTTTTTCCTCCTGGGTTCAAGTGATTCTCGTGCCTCACCTCCTGAGTAGCTGGGATTACAGGTGCACACCACAATGCCCAGCTAATTTTTGTATTTTTTTTTTTTTGAGACGGAGTCTTGCTTTGTCACCCAGGCTGGAGTGTAGTGGTGTGATCTCCGCTCACTGCAAGCTCTGCCTCCCAGTTCACGCCATTTTTCTACCTCAGCCTCCCAAGTAGCTGGGACTACAGGTGCCCGCCACCATGCCCGGCTAATTTTTTGTATTTTTAGTAGAGACGGGGTTTCACCGTGTTAGCCAGGATGGTCTCGATCTCCTGACCTCGTGATCCACCCGCCTCGGCCTCCCAAAGTGCTGAGATTATAGGCGTGAGCCACCACGCCCGGCCAATTTTTGTATTTTTAGTAGAGATGGGGATTCGCCGTGTTGGCCAGGCTGGTCTTGAAGTCCTGGCCTCAAGTGATCCGCCCACCTTGGCCTCCTAAAGTTCTGGGATTATAGGCATGAGCCACCGCACATGGCCTAGACGCTGGGTTTTAAAGACTTTCAGAATTTTACAAAAATTGGGGCAGAGAACTGCCAACTTTATTTTTGGCAAGATAAGGACGTTTTTAAAACTGCTATTTATTACGATTATTTTTATTTATTTATTTTTCTTGAGATGGAGTCTCACTCTGTCACCCAGGCTGGAGTGCAGTGGCTCGATCTCGCCTCACTACAACCTCCACCTCCCGGGTTCAAGTGATTCTCCTGCTTCAGCCTCCCGAGTAGCTGGGATTACAGGCGTCTGCCACTATGCCCAGCTAATTTTTTGTATTTTTAGTAGAGATGGGGTTTCACGATGTTGGCCAGGCTGGTGTCGAACTCCTGACCTCGTGATTCGCCCGCCTCGTCCTCCCTAAGTGCTGGAATTATAGGCGTGAGCCACCGTGCCCGGCCACAGTTATTTTATTTTATAACTTTAAAATAGAGATGAGGTCTTGCTATGTTGTCTGGGCTGTTCTCCAGCTGGCTTCAGGCGATCCTCCTGCCTCAGCCTCCCAGAATGCTTGGATTATAGGCGTGAACAACCATTCCCAGCCAAAGGCTGTTTTTTTAAATTTTTGCACCATTCTCTCAAAGAGCACTGGTGTTTTGATAGCATTCCTCAAATAGCATTTCAAGGGGCTCGAGGATTGGGGAATGGAGAGGACATCACTCATGCCTGCATCATCAAGAGTAATGCTACCTACCTTTATCCACATATGGGCTCTGGTTCCAAAGCAATAAATGTTTGAAAATAGCTAGCCTGGGTGACATTCACAGTGAGACCCTTTCTCTACAAAAAAAAAAAAAAAAAGTCGGGAATGGTGGCTCATGCCTGTAATCCCAGCACTTTGGGAGGCTGAGGTGGGCAGATCATGAGGTCAGGAGATCGAGACCATCCTGGCTAACACGGTGAAACCCCGTCTCTACTAAAAATACAAAAAATTAGCCAGGAGTGGTGGCCGGCATCTGTAGTCCCAGCTACTCGGGAGGCTGAGGCAGGAGAATGGCGTGAACCTGGGAGATGGAGCTTTCAGTGAGCCGAGATTGTGCCACTGCACTCCAGACTGGCCGACAGAGCGAGACTCCATCTCAAAAAAAAATCAGCTGGGCATGGTGGCTCAAGCCTGTAATCACAGCTACTCAAGTGGCCACAGTGAGCCATGATCACGCCATTTCACTCCAGCCTTGGCCATAGAGTGAGACCCTGTCGCAAAAATAAAAAAAAAATAGCTGATGGTTTTGGGAGTCACACAGACTTGGACTGAAGTTCCCATTTGTTCTAAACTCATAAAGTTTAAAACAACCTCTCTGAGCCCCTGGAAGGTAATAACTACTTTGAAAGATGGCTGTAAAGATTACAAATACTATATAGAATACAGGTCTAGCCTTTACCAGTTGTTTAATGGTAGCTGTTAAGAATAGGTTGGTTTGGCCGGGGACAGTGGTTCACACCTGTAATCCCAGCACTTTGGGGAGCTGAAGTGGGCAGATCGCCTGAGATCAGGAGTTAAGGAACAGCCTGGCCAACATGGTGAAACCCCATCTCTACTAAAAATAAAAAATTAGCCGGGCATGATGGCATGCGCCTGAAGTCCTAGCTACTCAGGAGACTGAGGCAGGAGAATCGCTTGAACCTGGGAGGCAGAGGTTGCAGTGAGCCAAGATCACACCACTGCACTTCAGCCTGGCTGACAGTGAGACTCCATCTCAAAAAAAAAAAAAAAAAAAAAAAGAATGGATTGGTTTAGGGAGAGGAGATGTGGGGTTGAAAATAAACTACTCTGTTAGTTGTCTTTCCTACTCCAGGGCTTAGGAATGCCCCCTTTTGGTTCTACCTTTTCTGACATCCTCAAGTCCTTGACTTCTCCCAGTCATGTTCTCATCCCAGCTCTGAAGTCACCTCTATGTTGACTTTGTTATAAACTAATTTGATTCTTCTCTCCCTCTGCCCTTGACAGCATCTGTGGAACCCTCCATTCTGTGGATCAGGTGAGATATAGCACGGGCCCCAGAATTGGTTCCTGGAGAAGGAGAGGGGAGACTTAAGGGTTGGGTTCTTACATCATGTCTCTAGGGTTAATAATGGTGTTCGTCGGCCAGGCACGGTGGCTCACGCCTGTAATCCCAGCACTTTGAGAGGCCGAGGCCTGAGGTCAGGAGTTCAAGACAAGCCTGACAAACATGGTGAAACCCCGTCTCTACTAAAAATACAAAAAATTAGCTGGGCGTGGTGGTGGGCACCTGTAATCCCAGCTAGTCGAGAGGCTGAGGCAGGAAAATCATTTGAACCCAGGAGGCGGAGATTGCAGTGAGCCGAGATGGCACCATTGCACTCCAGCCTGGGCAACAAGAGCAAAACTCTTGTCTCAAAAAAAAAAAAATAATAATAATAATGGTGTTCATCTTCCTTTCCTAGTATCTCAACATCAAACTAACTGACATCAGTGTCACAGACCCTGAGAAATACCCTCACATGGTGAGTTGGGGTCTGTGGAGAAGAGGAAACACCTCTAAAGCAGGAGGCCCCTGGGTGGTTAGAGGACATTTTTAAGGGTGTTTTCATATTTGTCCATCTTTGTCTAGTTATCAGTGAAGAACTGCTTCATTCGGGGCTCAGTGGTCCGATACGTGCAGCTGCCAGCAGATGAGGTCGACACACAGTTGCTACAGGATGCGGCAAGGAAGGAAGCCCTGCAGCAGAAACAGTGATGGCTCCTCCTCCTCTTCCCCTCCCTCTTTCATTGGTGACCCATAACCCCAAGTCCCAGCCCAGAACCCCTAACCCCCAATACTTGAAGGGGTTTTGTTTTTTTACTAATGATGGTTTTGTGGGTTTTTTTTAAGGGATGAGTGGATGAGAGGAGTAATAGGGAACAGCTATCCTCTCTTGAGAAGGGGAGGATAAGTAGGCTGGGAAACTTCAAAGCCTTCCCAGTCCCCAGCACCTGCCTTTCTCACTACTTCTCTGGAGATGGTAGGAGAGTTTCCTAGGTCTTTCCAGGGCAGCATGTGATTCATTTGGGGATGGAAGGAATCTGTCCCGCATCGGGAATAAAATTTATGATGCAAATTTGTGTTTTGGTTCTGTTACTATGTGTTGGGCAGGGGGCTGGGACATGGAAAAGGATGTCGAATTCATCCAAGCCCCTGTTACTCTGCGTTAACCCAGCCAAGAATCCAACTCAGCTTCCCACTACTCTCCTTGGTATAAAGCATATAATACAGTTGCTCTACACCATGTTTCCCCAACATGTCCCTACCTGTATGTTCTCCCTGTGGCCTTTTGCTTATACCATACCTGCAACTGGAGTGCTTGCTGTCCTTCCATTAATGTGATAGTGTCATAAGATACATTTCATGCTACCAGACTTCACCAATCCAACCAAATCAGTTCATGTTTTCTGAATATGTATAGAAGATAAATACAAGTGATGTAATTTATATTTTAGAGAAAAGTTGTGACTGGGAATTACTAAACTTCATTCACTCATTCAGCAAATATGAGTTCATGATACAGATGAGACTTCTCAGCCTTAAGGGACCCTTAGAGACCATCTAGTGTGACCCTCCTTTTTGTTTTTGAGACGGGAGTCTCACTCTGTTGCCCAGGGTGGAGTGCACTGGCTTGGTCTGGCTCACTGCAACCTCCGCCTCCCGGTTCAAGCGATTCTCCTGCCACAGCTCCTGAGTAGCTGGGATTACAGATGCCCACCACCATGCCCGGCTAATTTTTTTTTTTTTTTTTTTTTTTTGAGATGGAGTCTCACTTTGTCACCCAGGCTGGACTGCAGTGGTGTGATCTTAGCTCTGCAATCTCCGCCTCCCAGGTTCAAGTGATCTTCTTGCCTCAGCTTCCCAAGTAGCTGGGCTTACAGGTGTGTGCCACCACGCCTGGCTAATTTTTGTATTTTTACAAATACTGCAGCTCTGTCGCCAGGCT
This sequence comes from Homo sapiens, assembly GCF_000001405.40. Taxonomy (NCBI): domain Eukaryota; kingdom Metazoa; phylum Chordata; class Mammalia; order Primates; family Hominidae; genus Homo; species Homo sapiens. The sequence continues at coordinate 3,138,414 of NT_167247.2, read as the reverse complement.
GGAGTGCAGTGGCACGATCTCAGTTCACTGCAACCTCAACCTCCAGGGTTCAAGCAATTCCCTGCCTCAGGCTCCGGGGTAGCTGGGATTACAGGCGCCTGCCACCACACCTGGCTAATTTTTGTATTTTTAGTAGAGACGGGGTTTCACCATCTTGGCCTGGCTGGTCTTGAACTCCTGACCTGGTGATCCACCCGCCCTGGCCTCCCAGAGTGCTGGGATTACAGGCGTGAGACGGGCTTTCACCACCTTGGCCAGGCTAGTCTTGAACTTCTGACCTCAGGTGATCCGCCCACCTCGGCCTCCCAAAGTGCTGGGATTATAGGCGTGAGCCACTGCGCCCGGCCGTCACCCTTTTTTCATACATGAGGAGATGAGGCTCAAAGAGGAAGCTGGACGCCAGGGCCTCGGCAAATGGACCTCCCCTTCGGTCCTCATCAGGCGGCTCCCTGCTGGGCACCTCCCCGCTACCGGGTGGGGAACGCCCTCCACCGGCAGGGCCGGCCGACCCTCTTGGGCCAGTTCCCTAGCTGCCCGCTGGGCGCCGCCCTCGCCACCCGGCCGAGGACCCGCACAAGGTGCCCGTGGCGGCGCCTGACGGGAGCGTCGTGCTCAGGGGTGTCCTCTCGTCCTGCGTCCGCGCCCAGCGCCCCGCGCCCCGCGCTGTTCCTCGTGAGACCGGCGGGCGGCGAGCCGCGCGGCCCCCGGGGCAGTGTCGGACACGGCGGGCGCGCACTCGCAGGCGGGGCACGGCCGCCCCCGCCAGGACCCGCAGGCCCGGAAACGCTCCCTGTCACAAAGGGGGGAACACGTGGGCGCCGGCTGCCGGGGCGGCGATCTTAGGGAACTAGGGTCACCTGGAGAGCCGCCCACCGTCTCTGCCCGCTCGACTCCTCCGCCCGGGCCGCTCGGCCGGTCCAGCCGCGGCCGGCGCCTGGCTGTGAGGTGGATTCCCGGCCCAGTCTGACCATCTCCCTCCAGTACGTACACGCGGCTCGAACCCGCATCCAACCAGACGCCGACCCGCTCCTGAGAGCCTTCCACACTCCCCGAAGCCCCGCGATGGTGGATAGTTCCTCTTCCCCAGGAACTCCCCACTGACACTGCCCCTCTGAGAGCCAGGTCCTCGGCTCCTGACAGCCTGCCTGGTCAGACCCTCAGTCCTATGGGACTCGGGTGTCTGCGGCGAAGGAGCTCCCGTGAGGGTCCCCTCTCTACTCAAACATAGGACCCACCTCGATCCCGCAGTCTTCCCCTGTCTCTCTTTCTCCTTAGGTTTTTCCACTTCGTTCGGACCTTCTCATAACTATGTCCACCCTCTACGTCTCCCCTCACCCAGATGCCTTCCCCAGCCTCCGAGCCCTCATAGCCGCTCGCTATGGGGAGGCTGGGGAGGGTCCCGGATGGGGAGGAGCCCACCCCCGCATCTGTCTCCAGCCACCCCCGACTAGCAGGACTAGCTTTCCCCCACCCCGCCTGCCGGCCCTGGAGCAGGGGCCCGGTGGGCTCTGGGTGTGGGGGGCCACGGCTGTGGCCCAGCTGCTGTGGCCAGCAGGCCTGGGGGGCCCAGGGGGCAGCCGGGCGGCTGTCCTTGTCCAACAGTGGGTCAGTTACGCCGACACGGAGTTAATACCAGCTGCCTGTGGAGCAACGCTGCCGGCCCTGGGACTCCGAAGCTCGGCCCAGGACCCCCAGGTGAGGGGGTTGTACAGAAGAGGGGGAGGGGAGAAATTCAGAGGAGGGAAGCGAGGACTGGAATGGACAATGAGACAAGAAGGTAGTACATCAGATGTGGGAAAAGAGTGATCAAATCCCAGATTGCCAACTGGTATGGTAACCCTGGGCACGTTTCATAGACCCGCTGTGTCTTGGTCTTCCTATGTCTATGAACACGCAGGCAAGTTGATGTAATGCTTGCCTCACTGAGTTAATAGGATTAAAAGATGTGCGCAGAGCACATAGTTTAGTGCCAGGCACTTTTAAAGTCTCTTAGTAAAAGTTTGATGAGTCTGAAATTGATGAGGATAGAAGTTATTTGAATTGTAGGAAAAGACTGGGTGAGGGAGAGATGACAATTGCTGGGAGGAGATAAAAGAGAAATGAAATGAGGAAGGTAAGTGAGAGGAGAGATAACCCTGCCAGATTGTAACTATCAGTCCTTCCAAAGGAGACCTGTGCCTTGGTGTACTTTCAACTCTGCCTCCTTGCATGGTATTGAGCACATGATGGAAAATTAGTATTTCTTGAATGGATGAATGAATGTGGCAGACCCTGACTTGCTCCCTCATATTGTGATCACCCTATCTACAATAGAGTCCTTGCATTCAGAATGTCTGTCCAAACAAACAAATAAAATAGAGTCCCTCTCTTCTGGAATTCCCTGTTTGTTCCCCTCTTTTATTTCTTTTCTTTTCTTTTTTTTTTTTTTTTTTGAGACGGAATCTCCTTCTGTTGCCCAGGCTGGAGTGCCACGGTGCGATGGTGCGATCTCAGCTCACTGCTCAAGCGATTCTCCTGCCTCAGCCTTCTGAGTAGCTGGGATTACAGGCGCCCACCACCTTGTCCGGCTAATTTTTTGTATTTTTAGTAGAGATGGGGTTTTGTCATGTTGACCAGGCTGGTCTCGAACTCCTAACCTCAGATGGTCTGCTCGCCTCGGCCTCCCAAAGTGCTGAGATTATAGGTGTGAGCCACCACGCCTGGCCCCTGTTCCCCTCATTCTGCTTTATTTTTCTTCATAGGAGTTAAGAAAAATAGGGCACTTCATTTTATATTTGCTCATTTGTTGTTCCCCTACAAGAATGTTAACTCTACCAGGTCAGGGTTCTGTCCATCTGTTCGTGTTTTCCTCTCATTCCCTGGAGAAGTACTTAATACATATTTATTGATGTTCTGAACCTGGCAGTTATTGAGATGCCTCATATAATCTTTACTTCTATGCTTAACATATTGCATCTAACACATAAGTATTGAGTAGGGATTTGTTGGATGAGTCAGAAGTGTTTTGTTTTTTTTTTTCTGAGACGGAGTCTCGCTGTGTTGCCCAGGCTGGAGTGCAGTGGCGTGATCTCGGCTCACTGCAAGCTCCACCTCCTGGGTTCATGCCATTCTCCTGCCTCAGCCTCCCGAGTAGCTGGGACTACAGGCGCCCGCCACCACGCCTGGCTATTTTTTTTTTGTATTTTTAGTAGAGATGAGGTTTCACCATGTTAGCCAGGATGGTCTCGATCTCCTGACCTCGTGATCCGCCCAGAAGTATTTTTATTGTGACTATTTGAGTGAAGAAATGGGACTCAGAGGTGGTGATTTGTGAGAGTGGGGTGGAGGGAGGCCACATGGATTGGGTTGTGGTGGGAGATGGAGGTGGGCCAAACCTTGTCTCACACTTCTTCCCCTTCCTGCCAGGCTGTGCTGGGGGCCCTGGGCAGGGCCCTGAGCCCCTTGGAGGAGTGGCTTCGGCTGCACACCTACTTGGCCGGGGAGGCCCCCACTCTGGCTGACCTGGCGGCTGTCACAGCCTTGCTGCTGCCTTTCCGATACGTGAGTCACCAGGCCTGGGGAAGAACAAGACTGCTCTCCTCAGACCTCACTGTAGGGTGACTGAGAAGAGTCATTTATTTCCTGTTCCAGGTCCTAGACCCACCTGCCCGCCGGATCTGGAATAATGTGACTCGCTGGTTTGTCACGTGTGTCCGGCAGCCAGAATTCCGAGCCGTGCTAGGAGAAGTGGTTCTATACTCAGGAGCCAGGCCTCTCTCTCATCAGCCAGGTGAGGAAGGGCGAGGAGTTGGAGGATAGGGGCTTCCCTGGGGCCTTCCATGCAACTCACTTTCTTTTTTTCCTAGAAATGGCAGAATCACTGGGGCAGGGTCCTGCGGGAGAGGAGGGAGAGGGGGGAGGTCAGCATGGGCAAGACCTCGGGCATCTAAAATACCCCATCTGAAACCTAGTATGGCCGTCCAAGAGGGTCCCCAGCTGGCTGAGTCTGAATTTCTGCACCTCTCTCTAGGCCCCGAGGCTCCTGCCCTCCCAAAGACAGCTGCTCAGCTCAAGAAAGAGGCAAAGAAACGGGAGAAGCTAGAGAAATTCCAACAGAAGCAGAAGATCCAACAGCAGCAGCCACCTCCAGGGGAGGTGAGGCGAGGGTGGAGCTGGAAGGAAAGTTGATGTGTGCGGTGATGGGTTGGCTGATGCCTGGGCCTATGTCTTCTCCCTCCCAAGCAGAAGAAACCAAAACCAGAGAAGAGGGAGAAACGGGATCCTGGGGTCATTACCTATGACCTCCCAACCCCACCCGGGGAAAAGAAAGGTACTAGGAGTGGGAAGGGGCTCACCCCTCAGCAGCCCCTTCTAAGTTTTCACCCTATCTTGCTCTATTCTTGCTCTCACCACTTTGTTTGGTGAGGAATTGCAGACCCCCTGCCCTGCCTCTAGGCCCCTCAAATGCCTGTCCTATGATGTGAGTGACGGAGATCCCGATCCCTCTCTGCCAGCACGTCTCCTTCCCAGAGTGCTCCCAGCCACGGCACTGAGCCCTCCCTTCCTCTCCCCCAGATGTCAGTGGCCCCATGCCCGACTCCTACAGCCCTCGGTATGTGGAGGCTGCCTGGTACCCTTGGTGGGAGCAGCAGGGCTTCTTCAAGCCAGAGTATGGGGTGAGTAGGCACTGCTGCCCAGGCCCAGAGTGGGTGGGGTGGGGAAGGGCAGGACTGAAGGATGTGTTGCCTGGGAGGGGCTGGGAGAGGTGACCTGAGGCCTTAAACATGTGCCATCCTTCTCCACCATCAGCGTCCTAATGTGTCAGCAGCAAATCCCCGAGGTGTCTTCATGATGTGCATCCCACCCCCCAATGTGACAGGCTCCCTGCACCTGGGCCATGCACTCACCAACGCCATCCAGGACTCCCTGACTCGATGGTGAGCTTCTATCTGCACCTTCCTCTGGTTCCCTCTGCCTAGTCTGGCTCTCTCCTTTTCCCTGACAGCCCCCCGAGCCTCTCTCCTTCTGGGTTGGTGCTCACTTCTGCCCCCAGTGGTGCTACACTTCTCTCTGTCATTCCAATCTGATCATTTAGCTTCCTCTCCTAGTCCAGTACTCCCATGCAACACCGCCACTTGCAGACTCTCTTCTATCCCTTCTTTCTTTATTTAATTTTAATTTAATTTAATTTAATTTTTTGTAAAGATGAGTTTTCACTTTGTTGCTCAGTCTGGTCTCCAACTCCTGGCTCAAGTGATTCTCCTGTCTCAGACTCCCAGAGTGCTGGGATTATAGGTGTGAGGCACCACACCCAGTCTCTCCCTTCTTTTTCTAGTAACAATAACATTATTTTGAATTTAATTAGGAACATATGAATATATATATTTTTTTTTGGGGGGACAGAGTCTTGTTCTGTTGCCCAGGCCGGAGTGCAGTGACGCCATCTCGGCTCATGGCAACCGCTGCCTCCTGGGTTCAAGTGATTCTCCTGCCTCAGCCTCCCAAGTAGCTGGGATTACAGGAATGCGCCACCACAACTGACCAAAATATATGAATATATTCTTGTAAGAAATTTAAAGTTTCAAATCTCCTTGACCATCCCCCTCCACACCTACTTCCTCCTAAGATTTAGCCATTGTTATCACTTTGATGTGTATCTTCCCAGATCTTTCCTATTTACTTACATATACACGTACCCATAGAAATTTATAGTTCTCCTTTTGGGTGAGTCTTTTCTATTTTTTAACATAAAGGGTTCATATTACACTTGTTATGATCTAGCTTTCTTCTTACACTTAATACTTTCTCTTGGAGATCTTTCCTTGTCCTTACACACATACCACACATACTGACTTCCTTCTTTTTAATTGTTCCATAATATCTCATAGTGTGGCTGTACCATAGTGAAGTCATTCTTTTTTTTTTTTTTTTTTTTTTTTTTTTGAGACAGAGTTTCACTCTTTTTGCTCAGGCTGGAGTACAGTGGCATGATCTCGGCTCACCGCAACCTCCACCTCCTAGGTTCAAGCGATTCTCTTGCCTCAGCCTCCCAAGTAGCTGGCATTACAGGCACCTGCCACCGCGCCTGGCTAATTTTTGTATTTTTAGTAGAGATGGGGTTTCACCATGTTGGCCAGGCTGGTCTCAAACTCCTGACCTCAGGTGATCTGCCTGCCTCGGCCTCCCAAAGTGCTGGGATTACAGGCGTGAGCCACTGCTCCCGGCCTGGAGTCACTTTTTAATTAATGATTCATTCTGTTTTTTGTTTTTTGTTTTTTTTCTGTTGAAAACCTTACTCTAATGCACATCCCTGTATATCAAGTTTGTCCAACCTGCAGCCTGTGGGCCACATGCGGCCCAGGACGGCTTTGAATGCAGCCTAACACAAATTTGTAAACTTTGTTTAAACATTTAAGAATTTTTTTGCGATTTTTTTTTTTTAGCTCATCAGCTATCGTTAGTGTTAGTGTATTTTTTTAAATTTATTTTTATTATTTATTTATTTATTTATTTTTTGAGACGGGTCTTGCACTGTCACCCAGGCTGGAGTGCAGTGGCACAGTCTCGGCTCACTGCAAGCTCCAAACTCCGCCTCCCACGTTAACGCCATTCTCCTGCCTCAGCCTCCCAAGTAGCTAGGACTACAGGTGCCCACCACCACGCCCGGCTAATTTTTTTTTTGTATTTTTAGTAGAGACGGGGTTTCACCATGTTAGCCAGGATGGTCTCGATCTCCTGACCTCGTGATCCGCCCGCCTCGGACTCCCAAAGTGCTGGGATTACAGGCGTGAGCCACTGCTCCCAGCCAGTGTTAGTGTATTTTATCTGTGGCCCAAGACAATTCTTCCATGTGGCCCAGGGAAGCCAAAAGATTGGATACCCCTGCTCTATATGCTTGCTGAAGCATGTGTGGAAGGGTTTCGCTGGTGTAGCTATCAAGAAGTGAAACTGCTAGGTCGGCAGGGGCACACCTATATTAAGTACAAACGGAAGCTGCCAAGTTGCCCTGCAGAATGGCTTTGCTGATTGATACCTCCAGGAATTGCTGTGAGAGTGTTCATTTCCCCACCCTTGCTAAGCCTGAGCATTAGGGTTGCCTAATTAGTTTTGCCAATCTGATGGGCAAAAAAATACCTCTGTTGTTTTACTTTGTACCTTTCTGATTGCTATTGAAGTTGTGCCTATTTTCATGTTTTTTGGCCAGTCAGGTTTACCCATATGTGAATTGTCTGTATCTATCTTTTCCCCGTTTTTCTATTGATTCTTCGTTCTTTTTCTTTTTAATTTTTTTTTTGAGAATTCTTTACCTGTTCTGGGTATCAATTTTTTTGTTAAATATTGTAAATGTTTTTGTTGTATTATTGTGTGGTAGTTTTCCTGTTAATTGTAAATGTTTCTCCTGTTTTCTGTTACTATTTGTTTTCACTGTTAATATTTTAATTAGTGATAAATACAAAGTAATATTCTAGGTGACAAATCTTTTTAAAAAGTATTTTAAAATAACTTTACCATTTTTGGAAACCAGGGTTTATTATATTTAAATTTTGAGAATTTTTTCTGGTGTCTTATGTACTAAATTAATGTGGTCAAAAAATATTTACTGGGCCCAACTATGTGCCACCTCTGCTCTGAGCACTGGGAATATAATGTTTGATTGTGCATTTTGCAAGTAACTGAGAGCTAGGAAAACAGTTATATGTTTTATTTTTTTATTTTTATTATTATTATTATTATTTTGAGACAGAGTCTCTCTCTGTCGCCCAGGCTGGAGTGCGGTGGCGCAATCTTGGCTCACTGCAAGCTCTGCTTCCCAGGTTCACAGCATACTCCTGCCTCAGCCTCCTGAGTAGCTGGGACTACAGGCGCCCGCCACCACGCCTGGCTAATTTTTTGTATTTTTTTTAGTAGAGACAGGGTTTCACCCTGTCGGCCAGGATGGTCTCGATCTCTTGACCTCATGATCTGCTCACCTCGGCCTCCCAAAGTGCTGGGATTACAGGCGTGACCCACCGCGCCTGGCCTGTTTTTTTTTTTGTTTTTTTTGTTTTTTTGAGACAGAGTCTCTCTCGGTTTCCCAGGCTGGAGTGCAGTGATGCGCGCTTACTGCAACCTCTGCCTCCTGAGCTCAAGCGATTCTCCTGCCTCAGCCTTCTGAGTAGCTGGGATTACAGGCGCATGCCACCACACCTGGCTAATTTTTGTATTTTTAGTAGAGACGGGGTTTCACCATGTTGGTCAGGCTTGTTTCGAGCTCCTGACCTTGTGATCCTCCCGCTTCGGTCTCCCAAAGTGCTAGGATGACAGGCATGAGCCACTTCGTCCAGCCAACAGTTCTGTTAAATACACATAACATACAATGGCCAAGTTGTTTGCGTTTGTGTTTGCGTTTTTGTTTTTTCAATTTTTCAATTTTTTTTTTTTCTTTGGAAATGGGGTCTTGCTCTGTCACCCAGGCTGGAGTGCAGTGGCGCAGTCTCTGCTCACTGCAAGCTCCTCCTCCCAGGTTCACACCATTCTCCTGCCTCAGCCTCCTGAGTAGCTGGGACTATAGGAGCCCACCACCACGCCTGGCTAATTTTTTTTGTATTTTTAGTAGAGACGGGGTTTCACCGTGTTAGCCAAGATGGTCTCGATCTCCTGACCTCGTGATTCGCGTACCTCGGCGTCCCAAAGTGCTGGGATTATAGGCGTGAGCCACCACGCCCGGCCCTGTTTTTCAATTTTTTAATAAAATCAAGAGAGGGTCTCGCTATGTTGCCCAGGCTGGTCTTGAACTTCTGGGCTCAAGCAATCCTCCTGCCTCAGTCTCCCAAAGTGCTGGGACTACAGGCATGAACCACCATACCTGGCCTCCAAGTTTGTTTACATGAAAACAGAATGACTACTTTTTTTTTTTTAATTGAGACAGAGTCTCGCTCTGTCGCCCAGGCTGGAGTGCAGTGACGCGATCTCGTCTCACTGCAACCTCAACCACTTGGGTTCAAGCGATTCTTGTGTCTCAGTCTCCTGAGTAGCTGGGACTACAGGCACGCACCACCACGCCCAGCTAATTCTTTTGCATTTTTAGTAGACAGAGTTTTGCCATGTTGGCCAAGCTGGTCTTGAACTCCTAACCTGAAGTAAGCCGCCTGCCTCGGCCTCCCAAAGTGCTGGGATTACAGGTGTGAGCCACTGTGCCTGGCCACATACTTCTTATAAAACTCTTAAGGTAGCCACATTTTTTTTCCAGTGAACGTGGTTTAAATAAAATGTGAGACACTCCCATTACTTTAATGGAATAGAGTTATATCAACTTTTTATTTTTATTTATTTGTTTATTTATTTATTTTTGAGACAGAGTCTCTCTCACTGTGTTGGCCAGATTGGAGTGCATCGGCATGATCACAGCACAATCATAGCTTGGTGCAGCCTCAACCTCAGCCACCCAAGTAGCTGGGAACAAAGGTGCACGCCACCATGCCTGGCTTTTTTTTTTTTTTTTTTGCAGAGACTAGGTCTCACTATGTTGCCCAGGCTAGTCTGCAACTCCTGGGCTCAAGCAGTCCTCTCACCTTGGCCTCCCAAAGTGTTGGGGTTATAGGCTTGAGCCACTGTGCCTGGCTTGAATTCTTTAATCTATCTAAAGTTTCTTTTTGTGACTATTGGTAAGGGGGAGATTTTTTCCAAATAATTAGCTAGTTGTTTCAAACATTTTGAATAGTTTATCCTTATTTTACTGATAGGAAGTGCCAACTTTCACAAACACTAAATTTGCTTGTATCTGTTTCCAGGTACTATTTTGTTCCTGTTTAGTAACTTATTTTAACAATTAGAACTTTTGCTATCCTGTTTGGCAGGAGCCTCCTCTTCGTTCTTTTTTTTTTTTTTTTTTTTTTTTTTTGAGACAGAGTCTCACTCTGTCATCCGGGCTGGAGTGCAGTGGCACAATTTCAACTCACTGCAACCTCCCCCTCCCAGCTTCAAGCGATTCTCGTGCTTCAGCCTCCCAAGTAGCTGGGATTACAGGTATGCACCACCATCCTGGCTAATTTTTATATTTTTGGTAGAGACAGGGTCTTGCCATGTTGGTCAGGCTGGTCTCGAACTCCTGTCCTCAAGTGATCCACTCGCCTTGGCCTCCCAAAGTCCTGGGGTTACAGGTGTGAGCCACCACGCATGCCTGTCTTTGTTCTTTTTCCATATTGCCTTGGCTCTTCCTTCAAATCTTTTCTCCTTGACTAGCTTTAGAATCACAAGGGTTCCAGCTCCACCCCTGCTTCTTTCTTTTTTTTTTTGTTTGTTTTTTGGAGACGGAGTCTCACTCTGTCACCCAGGCTGGAGTGCAATGGCATGATCCCAGCTTGCTGCAACCTCTGCTTCCCGGGTTCAAGCAATTCTCCTGCCTCAGCCTTCCAAGTAGCTGGGATTACAGGCACATGCCACCACGCCCAGCTAATTTTGTATTTTTAATACAGACAGGGTTTTACCATATTGGCCAGGCTTATCTTGAAGTCCCCACCTCAGGTGATCCACCCACCTCGGCTTCCCAAAGTGCTGGGATTACAGGCGCATGCCACCATGCCCAGCTAATTTTGTATTTTTAGTAGAGACGGGGTTTTACCATGTTGGCCAGGCTCATCTCGAACTCCCCCACCTGAGGTGATCCACCCACCTCAGCCTCCCAAAGTTCTGGGATTACAGGCGTGAGCCACCGCGTCCGGCCTCCCTGCTTCTTTATTTAGTCCACTGACTCCTTGCCTGAAGCCTCTGCTTTCTTTGGTGCCAGGCCCCACTGGCCTGGCTCACCCTCTGGTCCTCCATGCCCCCTAACAGGCACCGCATGCGTGGGGAGACCACCCTGTGGAACCCTGGCTGTGACCATGCAGGTATTGCCACCCAGGTGGTGGTGGAGAAGAAGCTATGGCGTGAGCAGGGACTGAGCCGGCACCAGCTGGGCCGCGAGGCCTTTCTACAGGAAGTCTGGAAGTGGAAGGAGGAGTGAGTATGCAGCATCCCTGTGGGCATCGCAGCCCTGCCTCCCTGTCCCCTATCCAGAAGACCTCTGTCACCTGTAACCCCTTGGCCACAGGGTCAGACCCTCCCACAGAGGCAGAGTCAGTTGGCTCTAGGGCCCAGGTAAATTTCAGGGGGATGGGTGATCTCCACACTGCCCAGTCAGCCACCTGATGTCTCCCTCTAGCCCAGGCACGAGTGCTGACCTCAGCCTGTCTGCTTCCAGGAAAGGTGACCGGATTTACCACCAGTTGAAGAAGCTTGGCAGCTCCTTGGACTGGGATCGAGCCTGTTTCACCATGGACCCTGTGCGTGGGAGGAGTGTCAAAGCTGGGGCAGGAGTAGGAGTCTCCCCAGGGTGGGACCCCCACAGGAGAAAGCAGAGGTGTTGTGGCCCTCTCTCAGGAGCTGGCCCATGTAAAACACCATGGAGGGCTCAGCTGCAAATGCCACTTCCCACCCCTCGCCATGGCCCTTTCCATATCATGGCCCTTCATGTTCCCTGTCTTGGCTCTGGGAGCTCCAGATTCCTCCAGATGGCACATGATCAGGACCCCGTCTCCCATGGAGCCTGAACTCCCAGTGTCCTCTGCACCAGTACTTGTCCCCAGCTGATTGTCTTCCTCGCCATCTGCAGCATTACAAGGCTTGTTGCCTGCTCTTGTGTTCCCTTAGTCCTCTCTCCCCCTCAAGGAAAGAAGGAAAGTACTCCCCTCAGAGGGGTCTTTGTGCTGGCCAGTGGGACTCTGTATGGGCAAGGCCTCACTGGAGCCCTGGGTGTCTGCCTGGGCCTCCAGGCACAAGGCCCATCTCTCTGACTTCTCCCTCCTCCACCCCAGAAACTCTCAGCAGCTGTGACAGAGGCCTTTGTCCGGCTTCACGAGGAAGGCATCATCTATCGCAGTACCCGCCTTGTTAACTGGTCCTGCACCCTCAACTCCGCCATCTCTGACATTGAGGTGCGCCCCCCAACCTGGCCTGTCTCCATCTCCAATCTACCCTGGCCCTGGCCCTGGCCCCTGGGCCACGCCTCTAAATACCCATTTTACAGGTGGATAAGAAGGAGCTGACAGGTCGCACCCTGCTCTCCGTGCCTGGCTACAAGGAGAAGGTGGAGTTCGGGGTCCTCGTGTCCTTTGCCTATAAGGTCCAAGGCTCAGGTAGGAGCCAGGGGCACCAGGATCCTGGGCTGGGAGTGGCAGGAAGGGGCCAAGGCCAAGACCACAAGGCCTTCTGTCACCCCAGATAGCGACGAGGAGGTGGTGGTGGCAACAACTCGGATCGAGACAATGCTGGGAGATGTGGCTGTAGCTGTGCACCCCAAAGATACCAGATACCAGGTGGGGGACTGTCCACAGTTAGGGAAGGAGTTCTGGCCAAAAAGGGCTCCCATCCTTATGGGGTGGAGGGGTTGGACTTAGGCCCCTGGCTGAGGAGAGGAAACTGGGTTAGAAACTGGTCTTCAGCTTCTTTCCCAGCTCTGAGGGTAGAGCTATTGGGGACTGTTTGGGGGAGTTCAAGTGTTGGGATAGTCAGGGCCCTGGAAAGGAAGGACTTGGGCCCAGCCCTTCGTGCATTTTTAAAAAGTTAAATAGCCAGGCACGGTGGCTCATGCCTGTAATCCCAGCGCTTTGGGAGGCTGAGGCAGGTGAATCATAAGGTCACGAGTTCGAGACTAGCCTGGCCAACATAGTGAAACCCCATCTCTACTAAAAATACAAAAAATTAGCCAGTTGTAGTGGCGGGTGCCTGTAATCTCAGCTACTCAGGAGGCTGAGGCAGGAGAATCGCTTGAACCTGGGATGCGGAGGTTGCAGTGAGCTGAGATCACTCTGCTGCACTCCAGCCTTGGTGACAGAGCGAGACTCCGTCTCAAAAAAAAAAAAAAAAGTTAAATAGAGACAAGGTCTCACTCTGTTAACCATGCTGATCTTGAACTCCTGGCCTCAAGGAAGCCTCCTGCCCCAGCCTCCCAAAGTGTGGGGGTTAGAGATGTGAGCCATGGCACCAGGCCCCTTCATGCTTTTATTTATTTATTTATTTTTGAGAGAGGGTCTCACTCTATCGCCCAGGCTAGAGTGCAGTGGCACCATCTTGGCTCACTGCAACCTCCACCTCCCGGGTTCAAGCAGTACTTGTGCCTCAGCCTCTTGAGTAGCTGAGATTACAGGCACGCGTCACCACACCTGGCTAATTTTTTTTTTGTATTTTTAGTAGAGACTAGGTTTCCCCATGTTGGCCAGGCTGGTCTCCAACTCCCGGCCTCAAGTGATCTGCCCACCTCAGCCTCCCAAAGTTCTGGGATTACAGGTGGGAATCACGGCGTCTGGCCCTGCTTCATGCGTTTTTGGTATCTTTCCGCCCCCAGCACCTGAAGGGGAAGAACGTGATCCACCCATTCCTGTCTCGGAGCCTTCCCATTGTCTTCGATGAATTTGTGGACATGGACTTTGGCACAGGTGGGCAAGGGGCTGGTCCTGTGGGGAGAGGAAAAGACTGGAGCTGCACCCTAGCTGTCCATCTTCTCTCAGAGAAAAAGAAAATAAGCTTCAGCCAAATAGACAGAGCTTGGGGTGGTTCTCAAGGGACTGTATTAGACAAGTGGGGGCCAGGAGTGGTCTCGGAGCTACATCCTTCAGCAAAAGAGGTGAGTGTAGGAAGGAACTCCGTGGAGTCCCTCATGACCTGGGCATCCTGATGTACACCCAGGTGCTGTGAAGATCACCCCCGCACATGACCAAAATGACTATGAAGTTGGGCAGCGGCACGGGCTGGAGGCCATCAGCATCATGGACTCCCGGGGGGCCCTCATCAATGTGCCTCCGCCTTTCCTGGTGAGGCTGCCTGAGGCAAGAGTGCCCGGGTCAGGGAGATGGAGGGATGGCTGGGCATCGCCATGATGAGGCCTCATTCCTACCCAGGGCCTGCCCAGGTTTGAGGCCAGGAAAGCGGTGCTGGTGGCGCTGAAGGAGCGGGGACTGTTCCGTGGCATTGAGGACAACCCCATGGTGGTGCCACTTTGCAAGTGAGGGTGGGGGCCTGGGACGGGAGGAAGATGGAGGGCTCCTCAGGGTTTTACCGCCTGGCCTTCTCACCTACGTGTACCCCCAGCCGGTCGAAGGACGTGGTAGAGCCTCTGCTGCGGCCGCAGTGGTACGTTCGCTGCGGGGAGATGGCCCAGGCTGCCAGCGCCGCTGTGACTCGGGGTGACCTCCGCATCCTGCCTGAGGCCCATCAGCGCACATGGCATGCCTGGATGGACAACATCCGGTGTGTAGGGTCCTCAGTGTGGGAGGGGCTTGCCGAGGGCTGAGCAGGGCTCACTCGGGCCAGGCTCCATCAGGCCCTCCCTGATTTCTCCTCCCCGACATTTGCAGGGAGTGGTGCATTTCCAGGCAGCTGTGGTGGGGCCATCGCATCCCAGCCTACTTTGTCACTGTCAGTGACCCAGCGGTGCCCCCTGGGGAGGTGAGCAGAGGGCCAGAGCTAGCTGCTGGGACACCCTGCTGGAGTGGTGGGTTTACTGGGTCCTTGGTGGGGGGAGGGGCAGGGTGAGCCAGAAGCAGACACACCCCCTTGGGTAATCACTGCACCTGTGGCAGGACCCTGATGGGCGGTACTGGGTGAGTGGACGCAATGAGGCGGAGGCCCGGGAGAAGGCAGCCAAGGAGTTCGGAGTGTCCCCTGACAAGATCAGTCTCCAGCAAGGCAAGGCGGGGCTTTGAGGGTCTGGAGGGAGTTGTGGGGGGCAGAGCTCCACTCCCTCTGACCTCTGACCTTTGGCCTCTCTCAGATGAGGATGTATTGGATACCTGGTTCTCCTCTGGCCTCTTCCCCTTATCCATTTTGGGCTGGCCCAACCAGGTGTGTTCCTGGGGCCGGGGCTTGGCGGGACAGGGGACTGGAGGGTGGGTGTTGGCTCCCCTTCACACCCTGGTCTGCCCTCAGTCAGAAGACCTGAGTGTGTTCTACCCCGGGACACTGCTGGAGACCGGTCATGACATCCTCTTCTTCTGGGTGGCCCGGATGGTCATGCTGGGCCTGAAGCTCACGGGCAGGCTGCCCTTTAGAGAGGTGCGGAGACAGCCGAGACCCTCCCATCGCCCCCAGCCTCCTCTCCTACCGTCCTGTGCTGCAGCGCAGACCCCGCGTGGCTGGGGCATGGGGTTAGCTGTGGGCAGGCCTGACCCGGGGGCTGGTGTGGGGTTGAAATCCAGCCTGGGCCCTGCTCAGTGATTCCTGTGCCCAGGGCTTCATCTTCCCAGAGGAAGGAGTGCTTCTGATTCACATAAAGGCGCTCAACGAGCTCTTGGGGACACTCAGTGGGACCTGAGGTTCACAGTGGGGTAGACCAGACACAGTCCTGGTCGGGGCACTGAGGCCGGGGAAGGAGAGGACTGAGTCTCATGGGCCTCCCCACCTGCTCTGCAGGTCTACCTCCATGCCATCGTGCGAGATGCTCACGGCCGGAAGATGAGCAAGTCTCTAGGCAATGTCATCGATCCCCTGGACGTCATCTATGGAATCTCCCTGCAGGTGGGCTGGGTGCTGGGCCAGCCAGGAAGGGCCGTGGGGCTGTGGTCACAGCCACCTGACTGCTCCCACTCCACCCTCAGGGCCTCCACAACCAGCTGCTGAACAGCAACCTGGATCCCAGCGAGGTGGAGAAGGCCAAAGAAGGGCAGGTATGGAGGGTTGGGCTGGGCTAAGCAGGAGCACAGCGTGGATGGGGCTGGCTGAGGACGCTCCTCCCCCTGCCTCTTCCCTGTAGAAAGCTGACTTCCCAGCGGGGATTCCTGAATGTGGCACCGATGCTCTCCGGTTTGGATTATGTGCCTACATGTCCCAGGGTATGGCCCCCAAAGCGTCCCTCCCAGCCACTCCTTCCTCCTTCTGTGAGGCCCATCCCTCTTCTCCACCCTGAGCCTCTGGTGGGCATGGGCTGGGAAGAGGGTGATGAGGACTCACATCTCACCCCCGACCCAGGTCGTGACATCAACCTGGATGTGAACCGGATACTGGGTTACCGCCACTTCTGCAACAAGCTCTGGAATGCCACCAAGTTTGCCCTTCGTGGCCTTGGGAAGGGTTTTGTGCCCTCACCCACCTCCCAGGTAAGGGCCTGGTGGGCAGCAAAGCTGGCAGCACTCACACAGGCTGTACCCCTGTCCGGAGCAGCCTCCATGTAGCTGGGGGGACAGATAGACACAGAGACAGACAGTTAAAGGGAAAGCCCAGCGCATTGGGGGCTGGGGCCTGTCACTTCTTCCCAGATCCTGGCACATAGGTGGTTGCTTTGGACTCATCAGACTCTGGATGAAGATTTGCCCATGACTCCTGCCCCCATGGGGTTCTGGCACCCTCCCCTGGCCCGCCGGCTGATACACCCTCTCTCCCCAAGCCCGGAGGCCATGAGAGCCTGGTGGACCGCTGGATCCGCAGCCGCCTGACAGAGGCTGTGAGGCTCAGCAATCAAGGCTTCCAGGCCTACGACTTCCCGGCCGTCACCACTGCCCAGTACAGCTTCTGGCTCTATGAGCTCTGTGATGTCTACTTGGTGAGAAGGAGCACAGCGGGGCAGGGGATGGTGGGGGCAGGTGGGCAGCAGAGCCCTGGGCTCAGTTTTGCCAGAGTTGGCCTTGAGACCTAAGCCAACCCATCCCCTTCCCAGTCCTCACAGGCACAGCGAGGGCTCAAGGCTAGACCTCCAGCCGTGAGCCCTGTACCTCTCGTCCCCTAGGAGTGCCTGAAACCTGTACTGAATGGGGTGGACCAGGTGGCAGCTGAGTGTGCCCGCCAGACCCTGTACACTTGCCTGGACGTTGGCCTGCGGCTGCTCTCACCCTTCATGCCCTTCGTGACGGAGGAGCTGTTCCAGAGGCTGCCCCGGAGGATGCCGCAAGCTCCCCCTAGCCTCTGTGTTACCCCCTACCCGGAGCCCTCAGAGGTATGGCATGGCCTGGAGAGGGGAGTCTGACCTGCCCTCCAGGCCCCCTCACCCCCTCCTCCACCCCACAGTGCTCCTGGAAGGACCCCGAGGCAGAAGCCGCCCTTGAGCTGGCGCTAAGCATCACGCGAGCCGTGCGCTCCCTGCGGGCCGACTACAACCTCACCCGGATCCGGCCTGACTGTGAGCCTCAGGCCCCCATGTCCGCCCCATCCCACTGTCCCCTCAGCCTACTCTGGGACCCAGTGTCCGGCAGTGACTGCTTGGTTTCCTGTCTCCATGGAGCTAGGCCTCACCTTTCTCCCTCCCTGGCAGGTTTCCTGGAAGTGGCGGATGAGGCCACGGGCGCCCTGGCATCGGCGGTGTCGGGCTACGTGCAGGCCCTGGCCAGCGCAGGTGTGGTGGCTGTTCTGGCCCTGGGGGCTCCCGCCCCCCAGGGTTGCGCTGTGGCTCTGGCTTCTGATCGCTGCTCCATCCACCTGCAGCTTCAGGGGCTGGTGGACCCTGCACGGGAGCTGGGCAAGCTGCAAGCCAAGCGAGTTGAGGCCCAGCGGCAGGCCCAGCGTCTGCGGGAACGCCGTGCTGCCTCGGGCTATCCTGTCAAGGTGCCGCTCGAAGTCCAGGAGGCAGATGAAGCCAAGGTGTGTGGCCTGGGTGGGCATTTCCCACACCATCCCCTTCCTCCATCAAAACCCTGGTCTGGGCTGGTCCGAGTGCAGTGGTGTTGACAACTAATTGATCGTAACCAGTTACAGATTTCTTTGTTCCTTCTCCACTCCCACTAGCCTTAAAAAACAAAACAGCCTGGCTCAGTGGCTCACACCTGTAATCCCAGAAATTTGGGAGGCCAAGGTGGGTGGATCACTTGAGCCCAGGGGTTTGAGACCAGCCAACATGGTGAAATCCCATCTCTACAACAAAAATACAAAAATTAGCTGGCCATAGTGGCACACACTTGGGGTCCCAGCTACTCGGGGGGCTGAGGTGGGCGGATTGCTTGAGCCTGGGAGGTCAAGACTGCAGTGAGCCGAGATCATGCCACTGCACTTGAGCCTGGGCAACAGAGAGAAGACCCTGTCTGGAAAAAAAACAAAACAAAACAAAAACCAATCCTGGTCTGGAAGCTGGACTCTGTACCCAACCCTGGGGAATCCACTGGGGAGCATGGAGCCCAGGCGCTTTGAGCAGGGACCATAGAAGGCCCTCCCCTTACACATGGGGAGCAGCTGGGGGCTGGGCACAACCCAGGGTCACACAACAGGTGGGAGACGGAGGCTGACCTAGAACCAGGCATCCTATCTCCCAGCCAGACCCTTCGTACCCCACCCAGCTGCCCAAAATGTGGAAACCTGCATGCCTGGGGCTGGGCTTGGGGTCCACATGTAGTCGGGGAGCCCTGGGCCTCCCACCACTTACTTTCAAGCCTACTGGGCTGACCCTGGAAGGCCAGTCTTGTTTGTCCCCTGCCTCCTGGGTTCCGCCAGAGAGAAGCAGTGGAGTAAACTGCACAGACACAGAGAAAACCAGTCATGGAGGCCAAGAGCTAGAGAGCCTTGAGTGGACGTGGTTAATCTCACTTGGTTCTCCCAAGAGCCCTGGGAGGGGGGCAATATCATCATCATCATCTGACAAATGAAGTGACCGGCCTGGGAGACTGTGCTCTCCTGCTTAGGTGGGGACACTGAATGGGGAACACGTAGGCTCTGAGGTTCCTTTGTTCTTGGGGACTCACCACTTGGTGGAAAAAGGCAAGACCCAAGAGGTGGTGGTGGAAGTGGGGGTGCTGGTGGGAATGGGTGGGGAGCCAGGCCAGCCAGGTTCACGCCTCCTCTGAGCTACTGACCTCCCATGGTCCTCGCTCATCTTTCCAACTTTGTTGTCCTGGGTGTTTGGGGGTCTCTTCACTTGGACCTGGGTCCTCACCCACCCCCTGGTTCCACTCCAGCTCCAACAGACAGAAGCAGAGCTCAGGAAGGTGGATGAGGCCATCGCCCTATTCCAGAAGATGCTGTGATCCACCACCCAGCTTCACCCCTCACCCCCAGCGGCTCACCATGGGGATGGCAGCAATAAAATATTTTCCCACAAAATCCTCTTGTCATCTGTGGTGGGGGCAGAGAGGGGAGCAGAGGGGCTGGGTGCCTGAATCCTTGGGGGCTGCAGGGTGGGAGTGAGGCCCTGGTTCTGGAGGGCAGAGGGGTGCGTCTATCTGGGTCTGTCCCTGGCACTGTGCCAGGCCTGAGTCACGCTGCTTACTCCCTTCCTCCTCCCCAGCTCTCACTCACCTCCGCACTGCAGCCAAGGGAGGCCCGCCCTGGCGTGGGCTGCTGCCTGTGGCTTTGGGCAGGCAGGAGCGAAAGGGCCAGGGGTTGCCTGTCCTCCCCCACCCTGTTGAGGCCTTCCTCCCCCTCTGCTGAGCCTCGGTTAATTATAACTCTGACCTAAGTGCCCTGTGACGTCAAGCCCGGGCCAGCCCTGCCCAGGAGACCCAGCAACCAGGTAGGGGAGGGCCTGAGAGGACTCAGGCTTCCTGAGCATGGGGAGTGTTTCTGCGGCAGGGCTGGGGACGCAGCCAGGGACTGGGGAGGGGGGCGTGGGGGAGGAACCTTGGACCCCTCTCCTGGCAGGTGTGTATGTCCCTAATGGTCCGATGAGGCCCTCAGGTTGTCTGGGTGACAGCGAGAGGGTGGGGAAGCCAGGCTGGAGCAGACACGACTTTTGAGGTAAAGCAGGTTCCCATGGAGACCCGCAGAGCCGGCCTGCCCTGGAATCGCGGCTGCTTCCTCCTCCCTTGAGAGCCTTCTGTCTCCCAGGTCCATGTCTCAGCCATGCTCCCCACGGAGGTCCCCCAATCCCACCCGGGCCCCTCAGCGTTGCTTCTGCTGCAGCTGTTGCTGCCCCCCACATCTGCCTTCTTCCCCAACATCTGGAGCCTGCTGGCTGCCCCTGGCTCCATCACCCACCAAGACCTAACTGAGGAGGCAGCGCTCAACGTCACCCTGCAGCTCTTCCTGGAGCAGCCACCCCCAGGCCGCCCCCCTCTTCGTCTTGAGGACTTCCTGGTGAGCATCCCAGGGTCCTGTCACACCCCTGCCAGAGTCCCCAATTCCATGGGGCCTCTACTCCTTGAGGGCTCTGGTTGCCAAGAGAAGAGACACCCATGGCCCCACCCCTGCAGCAATAATACCCAGTAGTCTTGGTCCTGAAATTAGGAGTCCCCCTCCTTAGAAAGGTCCGGGACTGTCCCTCCTTTGTGGGGCTCAGGACCCTCATACCCAGCCTTGAGTGTCAGTTGCTGAGATAAGGTGGGCAACAGTCAATCCAAAGGGCCTCCCTGGAGCCCCGTCGCCCGCTATTCTCCCCAGGGTCGAACACTCCTTGCTGATGACCTCTTTGCCGCCTACTTTGGACCTGGTTCTTCTCGGCGGTTCCGAGCAGCCTTAGGTGAGGTGTCTCGTGCCAATGCAGCCCAGGACTTCCTGCCAACTTCCAGGAATGACCCCGACCTGCACTTTGATGCTGAGCGACTGGGTCAGGGACGCGCGCGCCTGGTAGGGGCTCTGCGGGAGACCGTGGTGGCAGCCAGGGCCCTTGACCACACCCTGGCTCGCCAGCGCCTCGGGGCTGCACTTCATGCCCTGCAGGTGAGAACAGGGTTGGGTTGATGGTCAGAGGGGTCTTCACTTCCGTGCCTGTCCGGGATGGAGCGCGTCCTATGGTGCCTTCTTGATCATGTCTCCTCCACTCTGGAAGGGGTGGGCACTGGCACGCGGTGCCCCGAGGCTGTGTCCCAGTTCCCCACCTCCAAGCTGGCAGTGCTTCCTGTAGGAACAGCAAGGAGGGCGCTGTGGCTGGAGAGAAGTGAGGGTGAGAGAGGAAGGCTGCGAGGTCAGAGAGCTGAGGGAGCAGCACACGCAGCAGGACTCTGCAGGCCGAGAGAGGCCTTGGGTTAGACTCTGAGCTGGGAAGAGATGCTGGGACAGTTTCCACCTGGGCAAAGCTCTGCTCTGAGCAATGGAGAGAGGGCAGTGGAGGGGACTTGGGGTGTCTGGTGGGAGCAGTAGGGGTGGGAGGGGACTTTCGGGATGGGGAACTCAAAGGAGTGGCATATTAGTGCTGGAGATGGTGAGAAAGGCCAGACTAGTGCCTCACTCCCCTTCTCCTGTCCTCCGGACCAGGATTTCTACAGTCATAGCAACTGGGTGGAGCTGGGCGAGCAGCAGCCACACCCTCACCTCCTCTGGCCAAGGCAGGAGCTCCAGAACCTGGCACAAGGTATGGCTGTGACCCTGGTGGTGAGGCAGGAGTCCACAGGGCCACCTCAGTCCACCCAGCCACTGTGTCACATTCTGAAGTCCCAGAGGGTATGATGTTACTTAATCTCCACAAGGACTGAGGTCCCCCAGTCCAAGCAACGCCTGGCTCAGTTAAGCAGCTTCCCCAAGGTCACACAGGGAAAAGTAGCTAGGACCAGGTCTCCAGACCTCAGTCCCGTCTTAAGTGTGGCTTCCTCCCCGCACTGACTCCCATGGGGCCTTCTCTCACAGCCCCCTCACCCTCTCACCTGGAAGCTGCCTCCTGTCCACAACTCACAGAGGGCATAATCCCCATAGGATTGGTCCCTACACGTACTGTGTTTGTTTTTTTCTTATTATTTATTTATGTATTTATTTTTTAGAGATGAGGTCTCACTGTGTGGCGCAGGCTGCTCTGCCCGCCTTAGCCTCCTAAAGTGCTGGGATTACAGTCGTGAGCCACCGCACCCAGCCTGTGCTGTGTTTTCCAGCACAGCCCTAGTTTCAAACATTCAGGCTCACTGCGGGCCCATGATCCTAGGTTTTAGTTCAGAAAGCTTTGCTAGGGAACTTCTGGGTGTTCGCCTCATCCCAGCTGGGAGGAGAAGCTGAAAAGGTTTGGGTGGGTGGGGATAAAGGCTGGGGGTGGCAGAATCTTGGGTTCTAGCCCTGCCCTCTCTTCCCAGTGGCCGATCCTACCTGCTCCGATTGCGAGGAGTTGAGCTGCCCCAGGAATTGGCTGGGCTTCACACTCCTCACCTCTGGCTACTTTGGAACTCATCCCCCGAAACCTCCAGGTACCAGACAAGAAAGTTCCCCAGAAGTAAGGGGAGAAAGTCATTCCCTTACAGGATCTCTGTCCTGTAGGCCCGTATGCCTTTGCTATGGCATCTCCTCCTAGGAGGAGAGGATGCTGGGAACAGGGTGGGTGGAGGAAAGTCCCCTGAGGAGGCTGTGGTGGGGTTGAGGTAGGGGAGCAACTTCTTCCTCCGCTGATAGGATTTCTCCCTTGTCATAGGCAGTTTTGGGGGACTGGCTGGAGGGATCAGGGGATCCACCATGTGCTGTGGTGACTGACCACCACGCCCTAAGATTTACTCCAGAATTCCCCTCCACAAAGCACCATCCTTTTTATCCTTTTTTTTTTTTTTTTTTTTTGAGATGGAGTTTTGTTCTTTTTGCCCAGGCTGGAGTACAGTGGCACGATCTCGGCTCACTGCAACCTCCGCCTCCCAGGTTCAAGCGATTCTCCTGCCTCAGCCTCCCGAGTAGCTGGGATTACGGGCATGTGCCACCACGCCCGGCTAATTTTGTACTTTTAGTAGAGACAGGGTTTCATCATGTTGGCCAGGCTTGTCTCAAACTCCTGACTTCAGGTGATCCACCCACCTCAGCCTCCCAAAATGCTGGGATTACTGGTGTGAGCCACCATGCCCAGCCATCATTTATTTATTTATTTATTTTTTGAGACCGAGTCTTGCTCTGCCACCCAGGCTGGAGTGCAGTGGCGTGATCTCGGTTCACTGCAACCTCCGCCTCTTGGGATCAAGCTATTTTCCTTCCTCAGCCTCCTAAGTAGCTGGGATTACAAGCACGCGCCACCACACCTGGCTAATTTTTATAGTTTTAGTAGAAACAGAGCTTCACCATGTTGGCCAGGCTGGTCTTGAACTCCTGATCTCAGATGATCTGCCGGCCTCGGCCTCCCAAAGCGCTGGGATTCCAGGCGTGAGCCACCGCGCCAACCCCGTCATCATTTCTTGCTGAACCCTTGCTGAGGGGTGAGAGGGTCAGGCCAGGCCTGAAAGGGCCTCATTTTCTTAGGAGGCAGTGGGTTTTTGACCTCCACTCTCCAGATCCCTTTCCCCAACCCAGGGAAATGTAGCCACGGGGGCCATTTTGACCGGAGCAGCTCCCAGCCACCGAGGGGAGGCATCAACAAGGACAGCACATCCCCAGGCTTCTCCCCTCACCACATGCTGCACCTCCAGGCTGCAAAACTGGCCCTTCTAGCCTCCATCCAGGCCTTCAGCCTTCTGCGAAGCCGCCTGGGAGACAGGGATTTCTCCAGGTGAGTGGCCTCCTGGGGATGGACCCCTTCATGGGGAGGCGCTCCTGCGGGAAGGGAGAAACCAGGCGCTGGGGACAAACGTGCAGGCCCTTCACTGTGTCTCTGGCTTGCTCCCCAGGCTGCTGGACATCACCCCAGCCTCCAGCCTGAGCTTTGTCCTGGACACCACGGGCAGCATGGGTGAGGAGATCAACGCTGCCAAAATCCAGGCTCGCCACCTTGTGGAGCAGCGGAGAGGCAGCCCCATGGAGCCTGTCCACTATGTCCTGGTGCCTTTTCATGACCCAGGTAAGTGTGGTCTGGCTAGGACAGTAGAGGGGAGGAAAATTCAAGGTAAGGGATAGACTGGGCGTGGTGGCTCACGCCTGTAATCCCAGCACTTTGGGAGGCTGAGGCAGGTGGATCACCTGAGGTCGGGAGTTTGAGACCAGCCTGACTAATATGGAGAAACCCCGTCTCTACTAAAAATACAAAATTAGCCGGGCGTGGTGGTGGGCACCTATAATCCCAGCTACTCGGGAGGCTGAGGCAGGAGAATCGCTTGAACCCAGGAGGCAGAGGTTGCGGTGAGCCCCGAGATCGTGCCTTTGCACTCCAGCCTGGGCAACAAGAGCAAAAAGCTCTGTCACAAAAAAAAAAAAAAAAAAAAAAAAAAAAGAAAAGAAAGAAAAAAAAAAGAAAAGATAAAAAGGTAAGGGATAAAGGCCTGTGGTGAGGAAGTGGGCTCGGGGTGGCACTTCCTGTAGTCCCGAGTGAGCCTCTACTGTGTGCATACAGAAAATTAGCAGCAACCTGGGTGGGGTGGCTCACACCTGTAATCCCAGCACTTTGGGAGGCAGAGGTGGGTGGATCGTTTGAGCCCAGGATTTCAAGACCAACCTGGGCAACACAGAGAAACACAGGTCTCTACAAAAAAATTAATAAAAATTATGTGTGGGTGTGGTGGCACATGCCTATAGTCCCAGCTACTTGGGAAGCTGAGGCAGGAGGATCACTTGAGCCCAGGAGACTGAGGTTGCAGTGAGCCGTGATGGCACTACTGCACTCCAGAGCGGCCTGGGTGACGCAGTGAGACCCTGTCTCTAAAAAAAAAAAAAAAGATAACTAGCAGACTTGCCTCCCACTCTTTCTAAAATGGCAGCACTTTCCATGAGTTTAATGCATGATTCATGCTTTGGCACGTGGCCTCTGCTTTCTTAGGCTTTCATGCTAATAAACCATTTTCTTTTTTTTTTTTTTTTTTTTTTTTTTGAGACGGAGTCTCGCTCTGTCGCCCAGGCTGGAGTGCCATGGCGCGATCTCGGCTCACTACAAGCTCCGTCTCCCGGGTTCACGCCATTCTCCTGTCTCAGCCTCCTGAGTAGCTGGGACTACAGGCGCCCGCCACCACGCCCGGCTAATTTTTGTATTTTTAGTAGAGACGGAGTTTCACCGTGTTAACCAGGATGGTCTCCATCTCCTGACCTCGTGATCCGCCCGCCTCGGCCTCCCAAAGTGCTGGGATTACAGGTGTGAGCCACCGTGCCCGGCCGCCATTTTCAATTCTCTCCATTTCCTATAGACAGAGATTGGTATCAAGATGGGGTTGTTGGGGCCAGGCTTCTGGGAAGCATCTGAGATAACTAGCTACATTGTATTCCTTTTCCATTGATTAGAAGTTAGACTCTCTGGCTTGAGTCTGACTGTGTGTCTTTAGGCTGGTCATGTAAACTTTCTTTGCCTCGATTTCATCATCTGTAAAATGGGTATCAGTTATCACATCAGGGTGGGGCAGGATGTTGGAATGTCATCAGTTAAGGCTATTTTCACTTCTTTTGTGGATCTTCAGTTGCTTCAGGCCATCTGGATGTATAAGTGCCAGTCACAGGGGATATGATTGGTTAGCTTGGGCTCAGAGGCCTGACACCTCCCTCATCCTGCCTAACTCCCAGAGTTGAAATGATGATCAAATAAAATGCCTACTGGACTGAGAGTTGCCTAAATTTGAGTCTTATTTGCCTGCATACATCCTACAGTGGCTGGCATTTAATAGACTTATTATGTTTGATGAAGATATAAATAAAGGTATAACTAAGAACTTAGCACTTATGTGTCAAAGCACTATCTTAAGATTTGCAAAATCAACTCATTTAGTCCTCCCAATAAACCTCTGAGGTAAGTGCTATTCGGTCTCTTTTCTTATGAGGAAACCCAGTTTTTTTTTTTCTTTTCTTTCTTTTTTTTTTTTTTTTGAGAGAGAGAGAGGGAGAGTCTCACTCTGTCACCCAGGTTGGAGTGCAATGGTACAATCATGCCTCACTGCAGCCTCGATTCAAGCAATCCTCCTGCCACAGCCTCCTGAGTAGCTGGGACTACAGATGAGCACCACCATATCTGGCTAATTTTTGTATTTTTTTGTAGAGATGGGGTCTCACTATGTTACCCAGGCTGATCTCGAGCTCCTGGGCTCAAGTGATCCTCCCACTTCAGCCTCTCAAAGTGCTGGGATAATAGGTGTGACCATTTTTTTTTTATATACGCACATGTAGCCAATAAAGGCCTACAGGAAATGCCACCATTTTTTTCAGGGAGTGGAGGCCACCTTCCCACCAGGGACACCTAGGTCTGCCCTGCCCTGCCCCGCCCTGCCCCGCCCTGCACTGACAAGTATGACTTTTTTTTTTTTTTTTTTGAGATGGAGTCTGTCGCCAGACTGGAGTGCAGCGGCACGATCTCGGCTCACTGCAACCTCTGCCTCCCGGGTTCAAGTGATTCTCCTGCCTCAGCCTCCCCAGTAGCTGGGGAGGCTACTGGGGAGCCTCTGGGGAGGCTACTGGGGAGGCTACGGGCATGCATCACCATGCCCAGCTAATTTTTATATTTTTTAGTAGAGACGAGGTTTCACCATGTTGGCCAGGATGGTTTTGATCTCTTGACCTCATGATCCACCCACCTTGGCCTCCCAAAATGCTGGGATTACAGGTGTGAGCCACCGCACCCGGCCAAGTATGAGTCTTATAATGGAGTATTGTTATTTCAATACCTGTCGGCTCCAGAAGCACACCAGGCCCCTCAACTGGGGAGGTGGCTCTGGGTAAGAATGAGGGGAGCTCTTTCCTCACTTATCTTAACCTCCTTTCCCCTTCCCAGGGTTCGGCCCTGTCTTTACAACCAGTGACCCTGACAGCTTCTGGCAACAGCTTAATGAGATCCATGCCTTGGGGGGTGGAGACGAGCCTGAGATGTGCCTGTCAGCCCTGCAGGTCTGGCCCCTCCCTTCTTCCCCGTTTCCTGGCCCCACCACCAGGGGGAGCTAGATCCCTCCTGGGGCTCCCCACCACCTTCAGCACCTAGATCCACTAGCTTCACTGTAGGGTTCCCGGGCCATATTCCCTTCTGCTTCATCCTCCGTGGCTCTACCCATTCCCCTCCTACTGCCATTGTTAACACTGGTCGTTGCCTTCCCTGCCAGCTGGCCCTGCTGCACACACCTCCACTCTCAGATATCTTTGTCTTCACGGATGCCTCCCCCAAGGATGCCTTTCTCACCAACCAGGTGGAATCCCTGACTCAGGAGCGGCGCTGCCGGGTGAGCAGAGCTAGTGGGAGACCCAGTGTTAGCCTCCCAGGGATGTGAGAGACCCTGTGATGACAATCTCATAACGAGGGTTGCACCACACTATGGTGGCCCAACAAGCCTTGGTATATGGTGGGAGAAGCAGACAATGAGTGGAACATTTCCTGATACCTTTAATGATATACGTAAGAGGCCCTACCCTTAATAACGCTGAATTTTTATTTGACCCTGCCTAATAAACAATGTGAAGAACTGGGGCTCTAGTCGCCAAAAATCCACTGTGACAGTTACAAGGGGGTGGCCAACTACTAACTGAAGGCAGGGGGTTCTGTCATTGGGATTCCCCACCCCAGCAGCCAGAAGGCAGGCAGAGACCTTATCACAAACCATCAGCTCTGGAGAAAGCTTGAGCACAGGGATTCTCATTCATAATAGTGGATGGCACTTGGACACCCCAATCACTGAGCTCTCTTCTGGGTACAGGTAACATTCCTGGTGACTGAAGATACATCAAGGGTTCAGGGTCGAGCTCGGCGTGAGATCTTGTCCCCTCTGCGTTTTGAGCCATACAAAGCAGTGGCCCTGGCCTCAGGAGGAGAGGTGATCTTCACCAAAGACCAGCACATTCGAGACGTGGCAGC
Organism: Homo sapiens; assembly: GCF_000001405.40. Lineage (NCBI taxonomy): Eukaryota > Metazoa > Chordata > Mammalia > Primates > Hominidae > Homo > Homo sapiens. The sequence goes on along the minus strand of NT_167247.2, from coordinate 3,110,933 downwards.
CATTGTTGGGGAGAGCATGGCTGCCCTGGTAAGTGGGGGCCAGGGCCCTCACTTAGGAACTGAAGGGTGGTCAGGCTGCACCTCTCTTCTTATAGGAGAAAGGGGAATCACTCTCACTGCTGTGTTGTTCTTCCAGTCACGGGGCAGGAAAGGAAGTTTCTCTTCCTCTTAGATCCATGACTAGCCACTTCTTTTTTTTTTTTTGAGATGGAGTCTTATGGTCACCCAGGTTGGAGTGCAGTGGCACAATCTCGGCTCATTGCAACCTCCACCTCCCGGGTTCAAGGGATTCTCCTGCCTCAGCCTCCCAAGTCGCTAGAGTTACCAGTGCCCACCACCAGGCCTGGCTAATTTTTGTATTTTTTTAGTAGAGCCGGGGTTTCACCGTTTTTTTGGCCAGGCTGGTTTCGTACTCCTGACCGCAAGTGATCCGCCTACCTTGGCCTCCCACAGTGCTGGGATTACAGGCGCGAGCCACCACGCCTGGCCTGCATTGTCCTTTTATATCAGTAAACCTCTCCCCACTTGGCTTCCAGTATTCTGCCTCCAGGGTTACCACAGGAAGTCCTACCATCTTTTTGGGGAGGTGGCTTGTATTTTGCAGAGACAGAGTCTTGCTATATTGACTAAGCTGTTCTTGAACCCCTGGCCTCAAGTGATCCTCCTGCCTTGGTCTCCCAGGTGCTGGGATTACAGACATGAGCCACCACGCCTGGCCTATCATCTTTTAATGGGGCACAAGATGTGATTGTCTCATCCTGAATCCCTTGCCTCCAACTTTGTCTCTGACCATAATAACTTCATCCCTGGCCCCGTGCCCCTCTCTTACTGGTATCCCTTTCTGCCTGTTTGACGTGGTTTCTTTCTTTTTTCTTTTTCTTTCTTTTTTTTTTTTTTTTTTTTTTGAGACAGAGTCTTGCACTGTCGCCCAGGCTGGAGTGCAATGGTACAATCTTGGCTCACTGCAGCCTCTGCCTGTTGGGTTCAAGCGATTCTCCTGCTCCAGCCTCCCAAGTAGCTGGGATTACAGGAGCCCACCACCACACCTGGCTAATTTTTTGTATTTTTTTTTTTTTAGTAGAGATGTAGTTTCACTGTGTTGGCCAGGCTGGTCTCGAACTCTTGACCTTGTGATCCACCCGCCTCAGCCTCCCAAAGTGCTGGGATTACAGGCGTGACCAACTGCGCCCGGCCCAATGACGTGGTTTCTTTCTATCTCCCCTTTCTTCTTTGTTCCTCATCCCATACCTCATCTTCTTCCCCATTTTCTGGTCCTGCCAATCCCTCAAGGTGACTCTTCCCCTGGACCCTCCTGTTGTGGTGCCTGGGCAGCCACTTGTGTTCAGCGTGGATGGGCTGCTCCAGAAGATCACAGTCCGGATCCACGGAGACATCAGCAGCTTCTGGATCAAGAACCCTGCAGGTACCTCTGAAGGTAGAGGGAAGAGAGGGGACCGGGGAATAGACAATCGAGGGGATGTACTCAAGGAGAGCAAGTGCTTCATGTGACAATCTCTTCCCTGACCCCAGGGGTCTCCCAGGGCCAGGAGGAAGGCGGGGGTCCTCTAGGTCACACTCGCCGCTTTGGGCAGTTCTGGATGGTGACCATGGATGACCCTCCACAGACAGGAACCTGGGAGATCCAGGTCACAGCTGAGGACACCCCTGGGGTGAGAGTGCAAGGTAAGGAGGGAGGTGTTCCTGGGAAGGGGAAGCAGAGACTGCAGGCCTCAGAGAACACGATCAGTCACATTCCTTTCAGGAAGGGCTCTGACTGCCTTTGCCCTTTCCCAGCCCAGACCTCCCTGGACTTCCTCTTCCACTTTGGGATCCCCATGGAGGATGGACCCCACCCTGGCCTCTACCCCCTGACTCAGCCAGTTGCAGGTACATTTATTCCCTGAGCCCCCACCCACCTAACCCCCAGTTTTATATATATATATAAAATATATAATATATAATATATATATTATATATATAATGTATATATGTATACATACATCTGTGCATATGCATAACTTTTATATTGAGTTATAATTTACATAATGTGCACTAAAGTGTACAGTTTGATGGATTTCATATAATACACCCAGTTCAGGATATAGAACATTTCCAGCACCCCAGAACTCCCTCCTGATGCTCCCCATCAATACCCCTCGAAGGTAACCTATTTTCCCATCCATACTCCCCAGAGGGAACCCCTATTTTGAAGGCCATTAATTCTTTTCTCCCTGTGTCTCCGAATCTCACAATGTTCTCCCCTCCTCGCCCCTGTCCCAGGTCTTCAGACCCAGCTGCTGGTAGAAGTGACAGGGTTGGGTTCCAGAGCCAATCCTGGGGATCCTCAGCCGCATTTCTCCCACGTCATCCTTCGAGGGGTCCCAGAGGGTGCCGAACTAGGCCAGGTGCCCTTGGAGCCCGTGGGACCTCCGGAGCGAGGTCTCCTCGCAGCCTCGCTGTCGCCCACGCTGCTGTCCACCCCTAGACCCTTCTCCCTGGAGCTGATTGGCCAGGACGCAGCGGGGCGGCGCCTGCACAGGGCTGCCCCTCAGCCTAGCACTGTAGTCCCTGTCCTTCTGGAGGTGAGACGCCAGGGGAAAGTGCGGCTGGGGCTGGAGAGAGTTAGAGCGGCCCCTTCCCTGAAGAACCCTTCTCTGCAGCTTAGTGGCCCCTCGGGTTTCTTGGCCCCGGGCAGCAAAGTCCCGCTCAGTCTCCGCATCGCCAGCTTCTCGGGCCCTCAGGATCTTGACCTTAGGACTTTCGTCAACCCCAGCTTCTCCCTCACCTCCAACCTCTCCAGGTGAGGCTCATGAACCCTCCAGCTCCCTCTGGCATCTTGCCCGGCCAATGCTTATCCCAAGCCCTGCCCCTGTCCCCCTCCGACTGGCCCTCAGAATCCTCCTCTCCGCTCCCGTGCCCCTGCAGGCGTCCCGACTCTAGGCTCTGGGCAGCCTGGAGCTTTAGCGACGCCTATATCCTCTCTCCAGGGCTCACCTGGAACTGAATGAGTCGGCCTGGGGCCGCCTGTGGCTGGAGGTCCCAGATTCAGCGGCCCCGGATTCCGTGGTGATGGTGACTGTGACTGCAGGGGGACGAGAAGCCAACCCAGTACCCCCGACTCATGCTTTCCTCCGGCTCCTGGTATCGGCCCCAGCCCCGCAGGTGAGGAACCACTACTTTCCATCACAGGGTGGGCAAGGCCGGGGAGGGTGGTGTAGGTTTAATTTGAGTACAGCTCTAGCACACCCTGTCATTCTCTTCCTTTTCCCCACAGGACCGGCACACCACCCCTACCGGCTCATCTGACCCGATCCTCACCACGGCCACCCCTGCCTTTTCCCCCTTCACATTGGTGACTCAAGGCAGGGCTGGGGCAGGGCTGGCTGCGGGCAGCCCCTGGTGGGGCACAGTTGGAGGGGTGCTGCTTCTGCTAGGCCTGGCCTCCTGGTGACACAACGGGCTCTAAAGGGATGGGTCTCCAGCACTATTTTCAACCTGCCCCATTGGTAAGAAGACCTGGGACACATTTGTCACATAGGTCTTAGGACCTTACCTCTCCTAGCTGGGATGAAGGTTTTCTCTTTTTTGTTGTTGTTGTTTTTTTTTTGAGATGTAGTTTTGCTCATTGCCCAGGCTGGAGTGCAGCGGCGCAATCTCGGCTCGCTGCAACCTCTGCCTCCTAGGTTCAAGCGATTCTCCTGCCTCAGCCTCCCAAGTAGCTGGGATCACAGGTGCCCGCCACCACGCCCGGCTAATTTTTTGTATTTTTAGTAGAGACAGGGTTTCACTATGTTGGCCAGGCTGGTCTCAAACTCCTGACCTCAGGTGATCTGCCTGCCTCGGCCTCCCAAAGTGCTGGGATTACAGGCGTGAGCCACCGTGCCCAGCCAATGAAGGTTTTCTTTCTCCATCACATCCCTTTCCTTTCTTAGAAACTTCGAGACTGGGGCTGGGTGCAGTGGCTCACGCCTGTAATCCCAGCACTCTGGGAGGCTGAGGCAGGAGGATCACTTGAGCCCAGGAGGTTGAGGCTGCAGTGAGTTGTGGTCGAACCACTGCACTACAGCCTGAGCGACAGTGAGACCCTATCTCAGAAACAAAACAAAACAAAACACCCTGCAAGACTGGGATAGAGGGCAATGGATATTCCCACAATGCACTTTTCCTAACCCTATGAGAAACAAACCAAAGACATTTTTGGAGAAAGCTGCTTTCTGGAGCAGTTTCAGTTTTATTTTTGTATTTAAGGCTGAAGGACAGTTTCAATAAACATGCTTCTTCCCAGAGGGATTTCAAAGAAAGATCGTTTTTGCATGTCATATAGGGGAGAATGAGGACATGAGACACCAAGAAGATGAAGTTTTCAGGAGCAGAGGAGAAACTTTACACCAACATGTCTGAACTTCATTGACTCACTACCTGGAGCCATTTTTTAGCTGTTGAGTTAAGAAACAGAAAAAGGAGCCTGGGGCTTCTGACTCTTTCACCAGGCTTAGGGGAGTGAGAGGAGGGTTTAGACACGGGTAGGGCCTCTTGGCCCCTTGGTGCAGCCCCGCTGAGCCATCTCCTCCTTTGGCTGGGTGACTCCTTTCTGCTGCCTTGACAACTCCTGGAGGAGAAACAGATGGGGCCTCTGGGCTCCTCCCAGCCCTGTAGGGTGGGGCTCCTGCCCTCCTTCTTGAAGTTTACCTGTTGCTGCCACAAGTTCTGCTCCCTTCGTCTTTCCTTTGAATCCTGGGTGGTGCAGGAACTAGCCTTGTTCAGTGGACTTGGGGAGAACTGGAGGGGAAATTCGCTGTGTTTTCTGTTAAGCCAGCACTGACCCCAACAACTCCCCTCTCTAGTCCAACTTCCCAAAAGTCTAAACTGAAAACAATAAACTCACCTTCTCATGAATCAGATTCTGCAAACAGATGTTCACCTTTTGAATCTGGGCTAACGGGGGGCGACCAGGCTCTGAGTGTAAATCTGTTAGAAAATTCTAGAGGAGGAGTTGGAGGCTGACAACATGGTGAAAACCTGAGGTCGTCTGCCACTCTATTCCTGTCACCACAGGCCATCCCTCTCATCTGGATCCCCTCGTCCCAGTACCCTCCCAGGCAGGTGGGAAAATCCAGTACTCTCCACCTCCATCTCTTTAGCACATCAGTTCCTCCATCTCCCTCAAATAGCACAATACCCCCTTTCACTACTCTTCATGGAGCCTCCCTGTCCATCCCTGCCCCATTGGAATAATCCAGGCCACACCCTCATCTCCATGGAGTGATCCAAATCCCTCTGAATGGAATGCAGACCAGCTTCCTCCAGCCCCAACAATGAACACCAACTTAACACTTGGTGGCATCCTGTCATTACGATGCTGCCTCCAACTCATGATCCCTGACCATTAACTCTCCCCTCTCCAGAGTGGTCTCAGGCTGTGTCTACACATTCCCTGTTCCTCCCTCCCTGGTCCTCCCCCCATTCACACAGAGGGGCAGCCCCCATACCTCACCAAGGGCCCCTAGATGCAGCTGCTGTCGCTGTGCCTCCCTCAGATGGTCTTCAAACCAGGCCTGGCCATGCTGTAGCAGCTCCAGACCCTGCCACAGGGCATCCTGTTCTCTCTCCAGAGCCTGCATCCTGCGTAGCTGGGAAAGGCAATCACAGAGGCTGACTCTCACGCCACAGTAGGGCTCTGGGTTATGGCCCTTTCTCTCCACCCCTAGTTGGGTTCACTGTGTGGTCACTGAGTGTGAACCCAGACTGGCCACTGAGGACCTGGAGGGCAAGGGGAGGCAGGCGGGAACACTGTGGGCCCTCAAGTTGAATGGAAATATAAAGGGCAGATCTATTGAGAGAGTTCCCCTGGGACCTCTTGTTGGGCTGATACTCACCCAAAGGAAGAAGCTCTGGGCCCCTGGGTCTTGGCGGCTTGTCCCCAGCGGCAGCAGCAGGACTGTGTAGGGAGCCTGCACCAAGGGCACCCCGCCAGAGCCCTGGCTCCCCATGGCTCTGAGGTGGGAAGGGTGGAGCCACTCCCACTGGTGCAGCCCGGGCTGGTCCCTCCCCTCCACCCCTGCCTTGCACCCATCCTGCCTCTGTCAGCCTCTCAGGCCCCTTCCTGCTGTGTCTGTCTGAGGCTGGGGTGTTCCTACTTGAGAAGAGAGACCATCTCCCTTGGACCCCTCTGTCTTCCCTCTAATCTGTTTTGTAGGGCCTCTCTGAAGGGGTTCGTTCTCATGAAGTATCCTGGGGTAGAATCCGGGAGTCTTCCTACAGCAACAACACTGTATTTTTACTGAGGCAGGGCAGGTTCCCCTGTGGACTCCTGCTCTGTGTTTTGGATCTTTCCTAGTCTCTTGTTTTGAGACTAAAGAAACAATATCTTTCTTCAAAATAAACTTTATTCCTAATATGAAACAAAATTTCTAGAGAAACTAAAAACTCTGCGTCTGAGGGAGATAAGGAAACAAAGAGGGCATGGCAGCCCACCGGAGTCTCAGGAGGCTGGGGAGGACACTGGAAGGACTCTCAGAGGATGCTGGTGGCAGCAGGCAGCACTTCCTGGCTCATGAAAACGTTCAAGTCCAGGTTAGGATCTTCCAAATCCAGTTTCATAAACTTATCCACTAATGTCTGGCAACTGAAGAAGAGAGAAAATCGCAAGATTTATGGCAGAATGGACAACCAAATCCCTGGGCAGAGGGGAGAGGCTGTGGCACAGAAAACCTGGGATCTTGAAGATTTAGGGATTTCAGAAAGAAATGGTGGGTTTCTGAAGGGCAAAGTGCTGGAGGAAGGCTGAGTCCCTGAAAAGGGGAGAAGAGTTGCAGGAGAAGATGCAGAGAGGGTAAAGACACTGGGGCCATATACGCACTTTTCCATTTGGTTCTTCTTTAGCAAATCCTTGACAGGCTTGATGGGTTTTCCACTGCGGATCAAGTCTGAGACCTAGGAACAAGCAAGAAGGTGGGAGGAGTAAGGGGAGTGGGGAAGAGAAGGGGAAATAAGGGTCAGAAATCCTGTGGACCTAGACCCAGGCCCAGTAGGACTAGGAATGAAAGGGAGCTCTGATGTGGAGGTGGTTGCACATTTGGATCTCATCACCTCCTTGCCACGAGCCACAAGCTTGTCAGGAAGCCCAGCCTGGGCAGCTGTGTGGGAGGCATGGCTGGCCTTCGCAACACCTTCGCAAACCTGATAGAAGAAGACAAGATCGTTGCCATCCTCACAGGTCTCCATGGTCTTAAAAGAGAATAAAAGACAGTGTATCATCAATCACCTCCTTCCTGTCCTGAAACCCTTGGCCAATCCTGTGGGGAGGGAGAAAAGGGAAGGGATGTGGTCTCTGTGCTGAGGGAGCCCTTGTTCTGATAGAGGAGCCAATCCCCACCTCTGGGAAATGCCCAGCCTGGGGGTCCCCGAGGAGCTAGATTGGTCTCCTCACCAAATACTGCACCAGGGGCCCTTGTGGCAGCAGTTGTAGCTGAACAAGGCTCAGAAAGTTGGTGGCCACAAAGATGTGGGGGCATGTGGGTCCACGTGCCAGCCAGTGTCGGAGCACAGCGGCCAGAAGCGCGAGCCCATCCACCTGCAAAGAGGGCAGAGGTTAGCATTCGGAGCCATGGGGACCCCATATGCCCCTCTGCACTTGCACTGCCTTTCCCTGTCTCGTGTTCTATTTCTTTTCTGCCCACACAGCCCTATTCCATTCCAGAGGCCCAGCCTCACTGTCATGCTCCTTCATCCTCCTCCATTTTCCCCTCCTTAGTTTCTCCCCTCATCAGTTTCTCCCCTCACCGTGTTGGTTCCCTTTCCAAATTCATCAATAAGGACCAGCGACTGTGCAGTGGCATTGTTCACTGCTTTCGCCACCTGCTGGGTATAAGGTGGACAAGGGAAAGTTAGTATTGGAAGCCCGTAACGCACTGACCACAGTTGGCCTGTGAATAAAGCTGTATACATGCCCTCCCTACTGCACTGCAAGTTCTTGAATGGTGAGGTGCACGCTTTGTTCATCCTCTTTGCCAACAGTGACTCACATGAAACAAGGGTTCAAGAAATGTTTATGGTATTGATTCTTCTTATCTCTGACCTTAGTGCTCCCCACTTTTAGTATAAAGGGCATGCAGCAGAGGGCATGCTTTCCTGTTATGAGCATTTTCAGGGGTTCCTTTCCCATTATCCCCTTCCTCAATCCCACCTCCCTTTGTTCCCTTTGACCTGGTTGAGGTCGATCATGAAGGTGGAGAGGCCAAGGGAGATGGATTCGCAGCTATGAATTCGTGTGAAGATGGCGTCTACTGCCCCAATTTCGGCCTCCTCTGCTGGCACAAAGCTGCCTACCAGGGCCATGAATGTGATCAAGCCTACCTGAATAGGGAAGGAGACAGGGCCTGGGGCCTGGTGCCGTGGGCTGAGGTGAAAGTGAGGCTCAAGGCATGAATGGCACATCAAAGAGAAATGGACAGGGTGAAACAGGAGAAATAGGTAACAGACACACTGACTCTGTCTCTCCTCCCCGAATCCTGACCATAGCCCTGTGGGCTAATTTAGAATCAGTGAAGAGGCACGGGACGTGGGCAGAGACATACTTGGGAGTGGTGTGTACCTACTCAGAGGCAGGTGAAGGAATTTGGGCCACGGAAAGTTCCATTAGAGCATGGCTCTCCAGTGGAGAATAAGAACATGTGAGGTGGAAGCACAGGGATGTGGGTGATGGTCCTTTCATGAAGAGCGGGGTCAGAAAATGGGAGAAGAGCTGCAGGAGCCTGAGTTGGCTGGCAAGTAGGGGTGGAGTAGATGCAGGAGACGCCAGAGGCCCAGGCTGCAGGGCTTCTCCTCACCTGTTTGAGGTATATGCTCTTCCCTGATGAGTTGGGTCCAGTGATGACTTTGACCCTCCCTTTGTCCCCACCACATTCTGTGGAGTTGGGCACAAAGGTTCGGGCACAGAGTTCCATCAGAGGATGTCTGCAGTGGGCGGAGAGGCACCTCGCATGGCTTGTGGATCAAGATAGATGAACCCCCAGAAGATGTAGCCTTTGGGCCCCTCATGTCTATTCCTCCACCCGCCTCTATTCTTACCTGCCATTCTGGATTCGTACCCCAAGGACTTGTGGGGAGTAACGCGGCCTTGAGTAGCCATAGTCCCGGGCAGCACTGGCAAGAGCCAGCAGGACGTCCAGGCGGGAGGCAAGGTCCAATACTCGGGTTAAGACAGCTGCTCGTGCCAGCACCTGGCACTGTAGCTGGTACATCAGCAGCGTCTCCTGGTCTGGGAGTGGGTGAGGAAGGGAGCTGGAGGTCAGTTCCAGGGGAAAGTGAAGGAGAGGCAGAGGCCCCTAGGGGGATCTGGAAACAGGTTGCAGATACAATCTGAGACCTCAAGACATTCAGAGGAAAAGATAGAGTCAGAGTGAGCGAGACAGAGAGCAGGAAGAGGAGGGGCCTGTTGGAAGCATCCCCAAGTTGCCCACTCCCCTCCTTCCCCTGGCTGCTGCTTTTTTTAAACATCTTACAATGCATATAACCTCTGGCTTTTCCTCACCCCGGATCTCGCAGTGCAGGTCCCCCAGCAATGCATCCAGCTCCTTGGTTCGGGCACTACGATAGTGCAGCTTCTCCTCTGAGAGAAACTGGGTACAGGGGTTCAAAGCTGTGGACTTTGCATCTCTTGGTCCTCCTCTCCTTCCCCATCTTTCTAACCCCACCTCCAGCCCCTAACTCTGACTTCTCTTTCCTTTGTCTCAGTGCTGGTAAAGCTCAGAGTAAAACTACAGAGGAGAGATCCCATATTGGGCAGTGCTGCTGTAGAGTAACGCTCTTCCTCAGCTGCTGACTCATTTTCCTCATCACTCACCTTACAGAGGTTGAGGGTCTTACCATGAAGTCCAGTCCATTAATCTCAAAGTCACTGGCCTCTACCATGGAAGGCAGGCGGGGAATAGAAAGAAGGAAGCCAATCTGGGGAGAGTAAAGAGGAGATACTCTACTCTCCTGCTTGGAGACTTACTGGACACCTCCCCACCCTAGAGGGAGCTTAAAAGATCCCTGTATCCCCACAAAAAAGTGTTCATGTTCTTCAGGCTGCCCCACAAGTTTTCTTATCTACCAGTATGTCTTTCATAAGCCTAATATCTCCCCCAAAATACATCTGAAGGCTACACCCACTCTCCTGCCCTCACCAGAGGGATGTAGATGACACTGCATGAAGGAATACGGGAGTCCAGATTCTCCAGCTCCTTGCGGGCAACCTCAGTAAGGAAACTGGGAAGTCCCATCAGTCTTCGCTTTTCTACGAGGGTGGAAGACACGTGGTTATCAAAAGTGAGTCTCCTGCCCTGGTTGCTATGAAGATCCCCAGCTGTGGTGACCACCTGCCAAGGATGGTACTCCATCACTGCGCAGGGCTCACAGGCCCATCCACACCCAACACTCACTCTCATCAATTTCAGGATCTATGTTGGGGAGGACTGTGAAGCGATTTTCAGCAAGGCTGCCCTCAAAGTCCACCTGAGGAGATAAGTACTGTTTCTTAGGACCTGGCACCCTCTGTCCTGTTCCTCAGCTCTCCTTGGGCCCCAATTCTCCCTGCAGTCCTCCTTTAACTCTCACCCTCCAGATACTTCCCTGAAGTTCTGCTGCCTCCTCCCACCATCCCATTCTTTATCCAATTGACCTCAATATCTTCCATGTTTCCCCATCTTGCACACTGCATTCTCTCTCCCTGACCTCCCTGGGTGCACTCCCTTTTTCCTTCTACTCACTACTTTCCCAATGAGGCTGGCGATATGGTGCAGGTCATCAGAGAACTCTTGGGCAATGTCCCGAAAGAGCTGGATGGACTGCGGCAGGGAGCGGCAGGCATCCCTCAGGCCCAGGGCACTGTACACAGTCTGTGAGAGAAACACAAAAAGGAGGACAGGCCACATCCAGCTCGGGTTGAGGTGGTGATAGGGACAGACTCAGAAGAACAAAGACCAGTAGGGAAGATCACAGTAACAAAGAGGGAAGATCTCAAAGGCAAAAAGAAACAGTGAGAGGCACTGTACCAAACACTGAAACTACAAAGACAATTAAGATATGGTCCTGGCCAGGCACAGTGGCTCATGCCTGTAATCCCAGCACTTTGGGAGGCTGAGGTGGGTAGATCACCTGAGGTCAGGAGTTCGAGATCAGCCTCACCAACATGGTGAAACCCTGTCTCTACTCAAAATACAAAAATTAACTGGGCTTGGTGGCATGCACATGTAATTCCAGCTACTTGGGAGGCTGAGGCAGGAGAATCTCTTGAACCCGGGAGGTGGAGGTTATAGCCAGATCACGCCATTGCACTCCAGCCTGGCCGACAGAGCGAGACTCTGTCTCAAAACAAAACAAATAAACAAAAAAAGATATGGTCCCTGTCCCAGATGTGCTCACAGTCTAGGAAGGAAGACAGAAATACATGCAGAAGATTTAAAAGTGAGGTGGTAGGTGCTTTGATAGAGGGTTGTGCAAACTCTAAAACAAAGGAGTTTGTACAGAGTCGGGAGAAAGAGAAATATAGCTATAAAAGGCCATGAGTCTGTAATGATACAAGAAGAACAATGACAAAAAAACCTCATCGGCTATCAGGGCCGGGCGCGGTGGCTCACACCTGTAATCCCAGCACTTTGGGAGGCTGAGGCGGGTGGATCACGAGGTCAGGAGATTGAGACCATCCTGGTTAAGAGGGTGAAACCCTGTCTCTACTAAAAGTACAAAAAATTAGCCAGGCGTGGTGGCGGGCGCCTGTAGTCCCAGGCACTCAGGAGGCTGAGGTAGGAGAATGGCGCGAACCCGGGAGGCAGAGCTTGCAGTGAGCCGAGATCGCGCCACTGCACTCCTGCCTGGGCAACAGTGCAAGACTCCATCTCAAACAAACAAACAAACAAACAAACAAAAAACAAAAAAATCTCATGGCTATCTTGGAGAATGTTAGGGAACTAATTTACCATATTGATAGCTAGTAAATAAAGGTGGGGGGTGCTCATTTCTGCAGCACATATACTGAAATTTCGAAGGTTACAGGGATTAGCACGGCCACTGGGCACGGATGACACAAATTCAAGAAGCGTTCCATATTGGGGAAAAAAAAAAGGGCTGGGCATGGTGGCTCACACCTGTAATCCCAGCACTTTGGGAGGCCGAGGCGGGTGGATCACGAGGTCAAGAGATCAAGACCATCCTGGCCATCATGGTGAAACCCTGTCTCTACTAAAAATACAAAAATTAGCCAGGCATGGTGGCACACGCCTATAGTCCCAGCTACTCGGGAGGCTGAGGCAGGAGAATCACTTGAAACCCAACCCGGGAGGTGGAGGTTGCAGTGAGCCAAGATTGTGCCACTGCACTCCAGCCTGGTGACAGAGCAAGACTCTGTCTCAAAAAAAAAAGAGTGGGGGAAATATCAAGCAATTTTCTGTATTTCTATATGATTTCTATCACTTGGCAACCAAATAGTACATAAAAGGAAGTTTCTCTTTACAGAAATTTCTGGCTAATAAATGAAGAAAGAATCAGAGATTTAAATGCTACTACTTTGTAATTGCTAAAGAATTAATAGATGGCTGGGTGTAGTGGTTCACGCCTGTAATCCCAGCACTTTGGGAGGCTGAGGCGGGTGGATCACCTGAGGTCAAGAGATCAAGACCATCCTGGCCAACATGGTGAAATCCCGTCTCTACTAAAAATACAAAAATTAGCTGGGCGTGGTGGTGTGCGCCTGTAAGTCCCAGCTACTCAGGAGGCTGAGGCAGGAGAATCACTTGAACTCAGGAGGCGGAGGTTGCAGTGAGCCAAGATCGTGCCACTGCACTTCAGCCTGGCGACAGAGGGAGACTCACCTCAAACTAAATAAATAAATAAATAAATGAATAATAGATTTAGGTATTAAACATCAGAACATTTGCCAACATCAGAAAAAGAGAGACAATCGGACATATCAGACATTATGTTCCTCTACTTCTAAAACAGTATTGAAAAAAAAAAAACTCTGAACCTAATCATGCTTCTAGAACTAAATATTAATTTACAGAAACTATAGAAGAGAGAGAAATGTGCCAAAAACATCTAGGAAATGCAAACAGCAAAATCCAGGCTAATGGAAAACACTATAAGACAAATAATAATCTAGTTTCTTCAACAAATTGCCAGGAGAAGAAAAAGAGAAAAAGAAAGAAAGAACAAGAGAGAAAAGATAGAGAAGGAACCGGTAGATTAAAAAGGACTAGGGCCATCATCTGACTGGGCATCGTGGCTCACACCAATAGTCTCAGCACTTTGGGAGGCCCAAGCAGGAGGATCACTTGAGCTCAGGAGTTTGAGACCACCTTGAGCAACATAGTGAGATCCTGTCTCTACAAAAAATAAAAAATTGGTCAGGTGCAATGGCTCACGCCTGTAATCCCAGCACTTTGGGAGGCCGAGGCAGGCAGATCATCTGAGGTCGGGAGTTCGAGACCAGCCCGACCAACAGGGAGAAACCCTGTCTCTACTAAAAATACAAAATTAGCTGGGCGTGGTGGCACGCACCTGTAATCCCAGCTACTTGGGAGGCTGAGGCAAGAGAATCACTTGAACCCAGGAGGTGGAGGTTGCGGTGAGCCGAGATCACACCATTGCACTCCAGCCTGGGCTACAAGAGCAAAATCCCGTCTCAAAAATAAATAAATAAATAAATAAATAAATAAATAAATAAATAAATAAATGCAAGCAAAAAATAAAAACTTAGTTCGGTGTGATGGCCATCACCTGTGGTCCCTGCTACTCAGGAGGCTGAGGGGGGAGGATCGCTTGAGCCCAACAGTTTGAGGCTGCAGTGAGCTACAATTGTGCCATTGCACTCAAGCCTGGGTGACAGAGTGAGACCCTGTCTCAAAAAAGAAAAATTTCAGATATTTGATGATACCAAATAATACAATTTTTAAAGTAAGATAACAATACTGTTATTCTTTTTAAAAAATAATTTTCTTTTAGAAATTACCCTGAAATATTGGCCGGGTGAGGTGGCTCACGCCTGTAATCCCAGCACTCTGGGAGGCCGAGGCGGGTGGATCACGAGGTCAGGAGATCAAGACCATCCTGGCCAACATGGTGAAACCCTGTCTCTACTAAAAATACAAAAAAAAAACTTGGGCATGGTGGCATGTGCCTGTTATCCCAGCTACATGGGAGGCTGAGGCAGGAGAATCGCTTGAACCTGGGAGGCGGAGGTTGCAGTGAGCCGAGATCATGCCACTGCACTCCAGCCTGGTGACAGAGTGAGACTCCATCTCAAAAAAAAAAAAAAAAAGAAAAAAGAAATTACACTGAAATATTTATGGATGAAATGATATAATGGCTGGGACTTGCTTCAAAATAATCCAAGAAAGCCAGGTGCAGCATCTCAGGCTTATAGTCCCAGTTACTCTGGAGGCTAAGGTGGGAGGATTGCTTGAGCCCAGAAGTTAGAGGCTGCAATGAAATATGACTGCACCACTCTGCTCTAGTATGGGTGACAAAGCAGGACCTTATTTAAAAAAACAAACAAACGACAACAAAACCCACAAAATAATCCAAGAGGGGAAAGTAGAAAAAGATATAGATGACACATACTAGGCTGGGCACGGTGGCTCCCACCTATAATCCTAGCACTTTGGGAGGCCGAGATGGGCAGATCACTTGAGGCCAGGAATTTGAGACCAGCCTGGCCAACATGGTGAAATCCCATCTCTACTAAAAATACAAAAATCACTCCAGTGTGGTGGTGGGCACCTGTAATCCCAGCTATTTGGGAGGCTGAGGTAGGAGAATCACTTGAACTTGGGAGGCAGAGGTTGCAGTGAGCCGAGATCGCACCACTGCAATCCAGCCTGGGCGACAGAGCAAGACTCTGTCTAAAAAAAAAAAGAAAAAGAAATAAAAAAAAATTGGCGTAAGTTAAAGTGTTGAAACTGCATGGTGGGTACATGGGGGTTAATTATATTATTCTAAATATTTTTTACATTTTCCTGAATACAAAGTTAAAAAAAAAAAGAGGGAGGCCGGGCCTGGTGGTTCACACCTGTAATCCCAGCACCTTGGGAGGCTGAGGCAGGTGGATCACCTGAAGTCAGGAGTTCAAGACCAGCCTGGCCAACATGGTGAAATCCTGTCTCTACTAAAAATACAAAAATTTGCCAGGCATGGTGGCGGGCGCTTGTAATCCCAACTTCTCGGGAGGCTGAGGCAGAATTGCTTGAACCCAGGAGGCGGAGGTTGCAGTGAGCCAAGATCGCCCCATGGCACTTCAGCCTGGGCGACAGAGCGAGGCTGTCTCCAAAAAAAAAAAAAAGAGGGTAGAATAAAATTGGACAGCATGTCTAGGGTACAGACAGTCTGGAATACAGGCTGAGGGCCTTTACCTGGACTTTTGGGATTCAAGAAGGAAGGCCTTACCTTGTAGAGAACCTGCCAGTCGCTGACCTTGGTGTGGGACAACTTCATGCGTTTCAGAATCAGCTACAGTCAGACAAGGTTACAGCCGCTGTTTTCTCTTCCCTCACTCTAATGCCCCTCAAGAAGCCCACTGCCCAGTATCAGCCCTCAACCTCCTTCCCCACCTCCCTGCCCTCCACCCTGGGCTCACAGGCACGTTCTTGATGTGACCCAGGAGCCGATGCAGCATCTGAGCCATGTCCAGATTCTGGGGCAGCAGAAAAAACTGAATGACGTCCAGACGAGAACTGAGCTCCCCCAGGTCATGAGTCGGACGTGTGAACCATAGCCTGGAAGTGAGGGTTTGGGTGGGGGTACTACAAGTTACATCTATCATCTTGATCTCAGTTTGCCAAAAAGTGTGCTTGCAGTCCCTGGGGATTGTGGCAATATGTATCCACGATGTGCTATGGGAATGTAGTGGCAAGTGCAGTGTCCTACCCATTCAGGTGTGTTTACATGTATCTACTGAAAATTGCTAGATGTGAGCATAATTGTGTCTACATATCACAGTTTCAACGGATAAGACCGTGTGTCATTCCATGTATATAAGTAACGGAGCTTGTCAATATTTTAGAAGGAGAGCAGTGTGTTGAGGTATTTGTGTGCCAACACTGCAGCTCACTCTGAGGCTGAGTAAGAGACGGTGAGTCAGTATGAGTTTGTATGTCTTTTTAGCTGTGAAAGTGTCTCTGGGTAACAGCAACAGACATTCATCTTTTCATATTCTTCCTGTGAAAACATAACTGTCCCATTAGGGATGATAAGCTTTAATTCATAATAATGGTCAACACTGCAGAGAAAAAAGGATTGGGGAGGGACATTTAAGGGGCTTCAACAACGTCTTATTCTTTCGTTTTTTTTTTTTTTTGAGACAGAGTCTCGCTTTGTCGCCAGGCTGGAGTGCAGTGATGCGATCTCGGCTCACTGCAACCTCCACCTCCCGGGTTCAAGTGATTTTCGTGCCTCAGCCTCCCGAGTAGCTGGGACTGCAGGTATGCGCCACCATGCCCAGCTAATTGTTGTATTTTTAGTAGAGTCAGGGTTTCACTATGTTGGCCAGAATGATCTCGATCTCTTGACCTCGTGATCTGCCCGCCTCGGCTCCCAAAGTGCTGGGATTACAGGCGTGAGTCACCATACCCGGCCAATAGTGTCTTATTCTTTTTTTTTATTTTATTTTTTATATAGAGTCTTGCTCTGTCGCCCAGGCTAGAGTGCAGTAGCACAATCTTGGCTTACTGCAACCTCCACCTCCCAGGTTCTGGAATTACAGGCACCCGCCACTGTGCTCAGCTAATTTTTGTATTTTTAGTAGAGACGGGGTTTCACCATCTTGGCCAGGCTGGTCTTGAACTCCTGACCTTGTGATCCACCCGCCTCGGCCTCCCAAAGTGCTGGGATTACAGGCATGAGCCACCGCGCCCGGCATGTCTTATTCTTAAATTGGCTGATGGATATATAGATATTTGTATTATTATTATTATTTTTGAGATGGAGTCTTGCTCTGTCGCCCAGGCTAGGGTACAGTGGCGGGATCTCGGGTCACTGCAACCTCTGCCTCACAGGCTTAAGTGATTCTCCTGCCTCAGCCTCCCCAGCAGCTGGAACTACAGGTGTGTGCCACCATGCCCAGCTAAATTTTGTATTTTTAGTAGAGATAGGGTTTCGCTGTGTTGGCCAGGCTGGTCTCAAAATCGTGACCTCAGGTGATCTGCCTGCCTCAGCCTCCTAAAGTGCTGGAATTACAGGCATGAGCTACTGCGCCTGGCCATTTGTATTACTATTAATAGTTTTTATAGAGACGAGGTCTTGCTATGTTGCCCAGGCTGTTCTCAAGCTCCTGGCCTCAAGCAGTCCTCCTGCCATGGCCTCCCAAAGTGCTGGGATTACAAGCATAAGCCACTGCACCTGGCCCGATAGTATTATTATTTACATCTTTTTTTTTTTTTCTGAGACAGAGTCTTGCTCTGTTGTCCAGGCTGGAGTGCAGTGGTGCGATCTCAGCTCACTGCAACCTCCGCCTCCCAGGTTCAAGCGATTCTCGTGTCTCAGCCTCTGGAGTAGCTGGGATTACAGGGGTGCACCACCACTCCCGGCTAATTTTTGTATTTTTAGTAGAGATGAGGTTTCACCATGTTGGCCAGCCTGGTCTCAAACTCCGGACCTCTGGTGTTCCACCTGCCTCGGCCTCCCAAAGTGCTGGGATTACAGTCATGAGCCACCACGCCCGGCTAATTATTTACATCTTTTTGTGTGTTGGAGGTATTTCCTAATAAATGAAAATAAATTCAGGCCAGGTGCGGTGGCTCACGCCTGTAATCCCAGCACTTTGGCAGGCCAAGGAGGGCGGGTCACGAGGTCAGGAGATCAAGACCATCCTGGCTAACGCGGTGAAACCCCGTCTCTACTAAAAACACAACAAAATTAGCCGGGCGTGTTGGCGGGCACCTATAGTCCCAGCTACTCGGGAGGGTGAGGCAGAATGGTGTAAACCCGGGAGGTGGAGCTTGCAATGAGCCAGGCCACTGCACTCCAGGATGGGTGACAGAGTGAGACTCTGTCTCAAAAAATAAATAAATAAATAAAATAAATTCATATACAGAAATAAATGTCTCATCTGTGTTTGTCTAATTCCGGGTATCCCTGTATACTTATTGGCCATGAGAGTGTGAGACTCTGTAGGGACTTGTGAGCCCACAAATTCTTTTCTACATAGAACAAGTACTAAGGATGCCATCTTATATAAGAGCCAACATGTGCACACACTAGGTCCTGAAGATTTGTATCTTACATTGCAGTCTGTGGCCAGTTACTTTGGGTTAGAACACCCCAGATTTGAATGAAGCGGAGCATCCAGATGGCTTCAAGGGTGGGTTTCAGGTACCTCTGCTCCTTGGTCACTGAGGGCTCCCACCAGAACAGTGTAGGCCAGTCTGTAAATAGCCATCCCCACTTTAGAAAGCACATGCGCTGCACTAAACACTTAGGTATCTCTGACTCACGCCCTGCTCGTACTGGGAGAGACTTTAGTTAAACCAAACTGTAAATTTAACAACTGAGAAAATGAAACCGTTAAAAGATAAGCAACTTGCCCAAAGTCATACCGCCAATGAGAACAGCTAAGTCTCAAAATCATGTCTCCAGACTCCTAGGACAGTGCCCTTTAGAGCATACTGTGACATTCAGTCATATTCTTGGTGCCTGTACAGCTTTTAGTTCTTGAACTCCTGGCCTCAAGCAATCCTCCTGCCTCAGCCTCCCAAATGCTGGGATTATAGGCGTGAGCCACCACATCTGGCCCTATATTATTATTTACATCTTTTTGTACGTTAGAGGTATTTCCTAATAAATTAAAATAAATTCGTATACAGAAATATTAATAAATATGTCACCTGTCCTTAGTTCATTAGATTATATGATGATTCTTCAAGTTATATGATCTCATGCCCTGTCTGATTCCATTTGGGGAATACGCATTCCTCCCCGACCTTAAATCCAGCTCTCTTCTCCACTGAGAATTCTCTCCCTCCCATCTGTGGCTGAGATTAAAGATCTGCACCTGAAGCACTGAAGAATGTGTGGGTAATTAAATTACCCTGCCGATTCCTGGAGATGCTGATTACCTGGAGATGACCTCAGAGATTATCCTAAATTAACTCCTACAAGATACACATTGCAGCGGGAGGTGAGGTAGGGGAAGGATTGTGCACCTGAGGCTAGCAAAGGTTTCCACTCTGTTTAGAGATGATGTCACCAGTGCGTTTACATTTGCGTTGTGTTCACACATTGAGTGCTACTATGTACAAGACCATGTGTCAGACACTGAGGTAACAGGTATAGCTACTAGATAGAGTTCATAGCTATGGAGGCAAGCAGATTCACTGACTGCTAATTCTAACATGATGTGACAGTGCAACTAGAAAAACATAAACAAGCACTATGTGAGCACAAAGAAGGTGCACATCAACTCCTTACAGGTACCTGTAAAAGCCAAAGGGTAACAGTTGGATTGCACCTTGAAGAGGATGCACTTTTTTTTTTTTTTAAGACAGAATCTCACTCTGTTGCCCAGGCTGGAGTGCAGTGGGGCAATCTGGGCTCACTTCAACCTCTACCTCCCGAGTTCAAGCAATTCTCCTGCCTCAGCCTCCTGAGTAGCTGGTACTAGAGGCATGCGCCATGATGCTGGGCTAATTTTTGTATTTTCGGTAGACGTGAAGTTTCACCAAGTTGGCCAGGCTGGTCTTGAACTCCTGACCTCAAATCATCCACCCACCTCAGCCTCCCAAAATGCTGAGACTACAGGCGTGAGCCACCGCGCCTGACCTGGATGTAAGATTTTGATAGGTACAGAACAAGGAAAAGACTTTCCAGGCCGGGCACAGTGGCTTATGCCTGTAATCCCAGCACTTTGGGAGGCCGAGGTGGGCAGATCACGAGGTCAGCAGTTCAAGACCAGCGTGGCCAACATGGTGAAATCCCATCTCTACTAAAAATACAAAAATTAGCCAGGCATGGTGGTGGGTCCCTGTAATCCCAGCTACTCCGGAGGCTGAGGCAGGAGAATTGCTTGAACCTGGGAGGTGGAGGTTGCAGTGAGCAAAGACCGCGCCACTGCACTCCAGCCTGGGTGACAGAGGGAGACTCCGTCTCAAAAAAAAAAAAAAAAGACTTTCCAGAAGGAGCAGCATAAACACAGGCATGACATGTTTCCATAATGGCAAGTGGCCCTAAATGACTAGAATATAAGGTAGATCCAGTAGGAAAGGACTTAGAAGGGGCTTTGGAAGGTGAGTCTGGAAATTAAAACTGGGGTAAACGTGATGGACCCTGAACATCATTATACTGCTTAAGATGCTAATCTTAATCCTGAAGGTAATGGGAAAACCTCCTAAGGTTTATGTTATTTTCTTTCTACTTAGGCTATTTAAAAAGTGGAGTGACGGCCAGGCGCAGTGACTCATGCCTGTAATCCCAGCACTTTGGGAGGCCGAGGTGGGCGGATCACCAGGAGTTCGAGACCAGCCTGACCAACATGGTGAAACCCCGCCTCTACTGAAAATACAAAAATTAGCCAGGTGTGGTGGTGGGCGCCTGTAATCCCAGCTACTTGGGAGGCTGAGGCAGAAGAATTGCTTGAACCCGGGAAGTGGAGGTTGCAGTGAGCAGAGATCGTGCCATTGTACTCCAGCCTGGGCAACAAGAGCGAAACTCAGTCACAAAAAAAAAAAAAAAAAAAAAGGAGTGACATGCTTAGATCTCTGTTTTGGAATGACAGGTTTTTTGTTTCTAGCATCAATCCAAGGTTCATGGCTTGAGAAGGTGTACTGCCAGCAATGCCATTAACCAGCAAAGGGAATGCAGGAAGAGGAACAGATCTGGTGGGCATCAGTTTGGATGCTCTGAGTTTGAGCTGCCTGTGAAAACTGCAGGTGGTGATATGCAATTAACATTCACATACGGAGTTCAAAACTAGAGACACAAATTTGAGAGTCATCACAGAAATGTGAAGTGTGTTTTCTATAACTAAAGATAACCATGCTAACATAGCCATGTGTTACATTAGCATTTTTTTTTTTTTTGAGACGGAGTCTCACTCTGTTGCCCAGGCTGAAGTGCAGTGCACAATCTTGGCTCACTGCAACCTCCACCTCCTGGGTTCAAGCGATTCTCCTGCCTTAGTCTCCTGAGTAGCTGGAATTACAGGCACCTACCAACACGCTTGGCTAATTTTTGCATTTTAGTAGAGATGGGGCTTTACCATGTTGGCCAGCTGGTCTCAAACTCCTGACCTCAAGTGATTCACCCACCTTGGCCCCCCAAAGTGCTGGGATTACAGGTGTGAGCCACTGTGCCCGGCCTTACATTTTGTGTTTTTTCCTGCTGCTTGTATGTGTGCAAGTCTGTGTATCATCAATGGGTATATGTGTACCTGCGCTGACAACAAAAAATGAGATGCATATCAGCTACTACACAAAGCTGTTATAAGGATGAAATGCAGTTAGCCAGTGCTCAGTAAAGGGCAGTTGCTTTACTACTACTAGGTGGGGTGGTGTATGTGAGAATCTGTATACTGCCATTAGTAGGCTTTAGTATGTAGTGTGCATATGGAATTCATGCATTAGTGTGTAGTATGTGTGGGACCCACTCACCTGAGCAGCTTCTCTCCCCACTTACAGTGGCATCTGTTGAGGATTCCTGTGAGGGATAAGGCAGGGAGTGAACTTGTTACAAGGCAGGGACAGGGAATGGAATGTGTTTATGTGTCTAAGCTGAGGCATCCAGGTCAGAGGTGCTGGTTGTTGAGGAAGCTGGCCTGGGAGGGCACAAAGGCAGCCAAAGCTGGTGCCTGGCCACAAATATGAGCTGGGATTACCGTACATGGAGATGGGGGAAGGGATGGACACTCACAGGGACACTTAGCCAGAAAAATACACAAAGCAGACCTAGTTAAAACTCAAGAACTGGCCAGGCACGGTGGCTCACGCCTGTAATCCCAGCACTCTGGGAGGCCGAGGCAGACGGATCACGTGGTCAGGAGATCGAGACCATCCTGGCTAACATGGTGAAACGCAGTCTCTACTAAAAATACAAAAAATTAGCCGGGCATGGTGGCAGGCACCTGTAGTCCCAGCTACTCGGGAGGCTGAAGCAGAATGGCATGAACCCGGGAGGCAGAGCTTGCAGTGAGCGGAGATCGCGCCACTGCACTCCAGCCTGGGTGACAGAGCAAGACTCCGTCTCAAAACAAAACGAAACAAATAAACAAACAAACAAAACACAAAAAACTCAAGAGCCCTCCCGCCCCTCCAAAAATACAAAAACTCAATAGCTGGCCGGGCAGGGTGGCTCATGCCTATAATCCCAGCACTTTGGGAGGCCAAGGCAGGAGGATCACTTGAGCTCAGGAGTTTGAGACCAGCCTGGGCAACATGGCGAAACACCATCTCTACTAAAAATACAAAAAAATTAGCTGGGCATGGTGGTGCAGGCCTGTAGTTCCAGCTATTCAGGAGGCTGAGGTAGGATGAGGCAGAAGAATCACTTGAACCCAAGAGGCGGAGGTTGCAGTGAGCCTAAATTGTACCACTGCACTCCAGCCTGGGTGACACAGCAAGATTCCATCTAAAAAACAAACAAACAAACAAAAAACTCAAGAGCCCAACACACATATGTAAAAAACTGGACGGCCGGGCGCGGTCGCTCATGCCTGTAATCCCAGCACCTTGGGAGGCTGAGGCGAGTGGATCCCCTGAGGTCAGGAGTTCAAGACCAGCCTGGGCAACATGGTGAAACCCCGTCTCTACTAAAAATACAAAAATTAGCTGGGCGTGGTGGCAGGTGCCTGTAATCCCAGTTACTCAGGAGGCTGAGGCAGGAGAATCGCTTGAACCCAGGAGGCAGAGGTTGCATTGAGCCGAGATCGCACCATTGCACTCCAGCCTGGGGGACAAGAGCGAGACTTCGTCTCACACACACACACACACACACACACACACACACACACACACACACAAAACTGGACACAACTGGCCAGGCGCGGTGGCTCACGCCTGTAATCCCAGCACTTTGGGAGGCCGAGGTGGACGGATCACGAGGTCAGGAGATCGAGATCATCCTGGCTAACACAGTGAAACCCGTTCTCTACTAAAAATACAAAAATTAGCCAGGCATCGTGGTGGGCACCTGTAGTCCTAGCTACTCAGGAGGCTGAGGCAGCAGAATGGTGTGAACCCAGGAGGCAGAGCTTGCAGTGAGCTGATATTGCACCACTGCACTCCAGCCTGGGCGACAGAGCGAGACTCTGTCTCAAAAAAAAAAAAAAAAAAAACCTGGACACAACTTACTGAGATATGAAACTATATGGATATTTGCGGAGATGTCCCTAATATACCCTAAAGCCAGAGACAACTGATAAAGACTCTATACAAATCAAATAGGCAGTTATGCAGTTACAAAACTCTTCTCTATACACAAGGTCTCCCAAAGTCCCTAACAGGTACCCAACTAGTAGAAACATTCATACAAACCCAGGGAAGGAACACAGAATTGGTAAAGTAATGGCTGATATGCAACAACACTGTACAGCCACAAAGTATGGGAAGATGCTCAAGCTTGGGGGGCGGGGGGTACAAATAGGTAAGAAATTTGGATTGGCATGAAAGAGATATCTGACAATGGGAGTGAAGTGGGAAGGGAGGCTGGGACACATCTTTGGAGCCAATTGCTTTTCTGGTAGGTCTTTGTAATGTGAGATGAGGGATGGGGCACACCTACCAAAGAGGCTGAGCCCCTCCTTCAGTCCACTGGCCACTTTGTACACTGAGGGGTGAGACTCACTCTTAAAAATCTGTAGAACACTGTCGAGGAGAAATGGAGGAGTTTGGGGTAACTTGGACTTTTGAAGGGAATAAGAATTGAGGACTGATAAATGGAATGGGGACAGGGGATATCCTCCTGAGATCACGTCTTTTTTTTTTTTTTTTTTTTTTTGAGATGGAGTCTCGCTCTGTCGCCCAGGCTGGAGTGCAGTGGTGCAATTTCAGCTCACTGCAACCTCTGCCTCCTGGATTCAAGCAATCCTGCCTCAGCCTCCTGAGTGGCTGGGATTACAGGCGCACAACACACCCAGCTAATTTTTATATTTTTAGTAGAGACGGGGTTTTACCATATTGGTCAGGTCTCAAACTCCTGACCTCAGGCGATCCACCCGCCTTGGCCTCCCAAAGCGCGGGGATTACAGGCATGAGCCACCGCGCCCAGCCGAGATCATATCTTGATGTAAGGTTTGTCCCTTACTTTTCTTTGCCTCAGTTTCTCCCTATAGAAAAGAAAGCTAGTATCTTTATGCTTTTCTTCCTCTCTTTCCCTCAAAACCCCCCTTCCCTTTCCTTCAAGGAGAGAGATCTTAATAGCCCCAGGATTAGGGAAACTAGAGCCTCATTAGGATTATTGGGGCATTAAACTTAATCCTTCTCCCTCCCCAGAGACAGCAGCATGCCTCCACCTCTTTACCTGTAAGTGTCTTGATCTATGTTCACCAGATGAGTCCTGAGGACAGAAAACAAAAAAGCAGGAAGCAGTCTGAGTTCGTTCCACAACTCCACTTCCTTTGTCCCCCTCTCTGAATATTGTCCCAGTCTTCTTCCCAAAGTCTCATTAGCCCTTAGATTCTCCCGGGTGTCCTAGAGCACTTGACCCACTGGGTCACAGCCACATCCACACCCCACCCCCACTTTACTTTTCAGGCCTCCCAATCCCACATTACTTTGGTTGGGGTTGGGGTGAATCACCTACAACATAAATTTCTTAAAGCCCAGGATGGGGACGCTGACATTATAGTCTTCCAGTTCAACCCCGATTCTTCTTCGACCCAGGAACTTCAGCAGCCCTCCAAGTGCTCGAACCTGGGAGGGGATCAGCAGTGGAATCGGGGTAAATCTTAAATCTCCTGGGGGCTGCAGAGCACCAGGGAAAGTTACTATTTTCCAGGGCTAGGCCAGTACCTCCCAGAATTCAGCCCTAGCACTTGTGCCGCCTCCCAGCCCTTATCCCCCAGGACCAATCTCACTGTGAGGAGGCAGTCAAAGGGAATAATGGAAGAGAGGAAGAGGATTTTCTCAGTGGCAGTCATGGCGTCTGGGATGAAGGAGTAGTTTCCAGAAAGGAGGCGTTGTTTGCTTATCTCCAGACCTATTTGAGGGAGGCAAGCAAAGGGAACGGTCTTGTAGCTCAATTTTTTCACCCCATTTTAAGAATGAGACAATAGAAGCAAGAGAGATTATTTGACTTGCCCAAGCTCACACAGGCAGTTAATGGAAAGCTAGAGCAAGAACCAAATTTTCAGACTCTTAGTCTAATTCTCTTTTTATTCTACATATAATATAAAGATACTTGTCTGAAAGCACAGCCTGAGAAAGATAAATGGCTGAGGAAAGTAGACATCTGTCTGGAATTGAGGATTTTGGTCAAAATAATGGTATTAATAGAACTAGTAACACTAATGCCTTAATATCTAATTAGGATAGTACACTCCTGTTCTTATTGTAAACCTAGGAAAGTTATAGAAGTGCCTTATGGATCATAATAAGGGTCACTGAGGCAGTGCCTTTTGGTTTGGTGATAAAAGGCTTTAACTTAATGGGGAGAATTCCAACAATAAAACCCTGTCCAAAAAGTGTCACCACTCCTCAGGGGAGGCCCTCATCCCTAGACATGACTTAAGCAGAGGCTTCCCAATAAGCTGCAGGTTATTAAAGGGTAGGGAGCAGGAGAGATCTTGGGGGGACAGGTCATAGGGCATGAGGAGCACAAAGGTTTAGGATGACATAAGGCAGAGGGGAGATCTGTGATGATGAAGGTAGAGTTGGGGGAAAGAATGGGACACCGGAACAGGGAGTTAGGCAAAGCAAAAGGAAGGAGATACCAAAATCCACACTTGGCAAAAATATGATTTCAGGTCTTTTAGGCTCTCTGTGCTCCTGGGAGGCTGTGGGGGAGGAAAGAAAAGGCTATCATTCTTTACATCTCAGTCCTTCTACCTCTGTCTGACACTCCCTCTCACCCAATTCTAGCCCCCTGGAATATTCCATATATTAGTCCTTCCCCATTTTCCCTCTATCCTTTACCAAGTCCTTACCAAGCTTTCCCAGAAATCGAGTCATATTCTCATCCTGTTTGGCACTCGTAACAACAGACTGGGGATTGATCTCATCCAGAACTTGGAAGGAGAACAGAGATCAAATGAGTTAAAGGATCTTTGTCTTTGACTAAGAGAAAACCCATAGCCCTCCTCTTCCTACCCCTCTCCTTCTCAAAAACATTTCCTCCCTAGGAGTAGGGAGTGCTCTGCACAGTGGGAACACAGGTAGAAGTTGAGATTTAGAAAAGTAGTTAAGAGTGGTGGGATGGTGAGAGGGAAGTGGGATGTTCTGGATGTTGTCACTAGGCTGTAAACCCCTGGAGAACAGACATGACTGATTTGCCCAGGGCTGAATCTGAAGCACCTGAAACATTGTAAATACGTCATATATATTTGTGGCCAGGCACAGTGGCTCATGCCTATAATCCCTGCCCTTTGGGAGGCCAAGGCAGGCAGATCACTGGAGGCCAGGAGCTCAAGACAAGCCTAGCCAACGTGGTGAAACCCTGCCTCTACTAAAAATATAAAAATTAGCCAGGCGTGATGGCAGATTCTTGTAATCCCAGCTACTCGGGAGACTGAGGCAGGAGAATTGCTTGAATCCGGGAGACGGAGGTTGCAGTGAGCCAAGATGGCACCACTACACTTCCAGCCTGAGTGACGGAGCAAGACACTGTCTCAAAAAAGAACAACCAAACAAACCAAAAAACAGCCTCACAAATATTTGTTAAATAATGAAATGAATTCATAAAAACAAAAGAGGGAGCCTCTGTGAAGCAACTGTAAAATATATTGAGTCAGTGCTATAGTTTGGATGTGATTTGTCCCTGCCAAATATCGTGTTGAAATTTAATCCCCAGTGTGATAGTGTTGTGAGGTAGGGCCTAGCAGGAGGTGTGTGGGTGATGGGAGTGGATCGCTCATGAACAGATTAATGCCCTTCCTGGAGTGTGTTGGTGGGTATGAGTGAGAGGTTCTCACTCTATTAGTTCCTGAGAGAGCTGGTTGTCAAAAAGAGCCTGGCATCTCCCTCCCCCTTGCTTCTTCTCTGCCATGTGACCTCTACACACCCTGCCTTCCCTTCTTCCATGAGTTGAAGCAGTCTGAGGCTCTCACCAGTGAAGATGCCCAATTTTGAGCTTTCCAACCATCCAGAACCATAAGCCAAATAAAACTTTTTTTTTTTTTTTAACAAATTACTCAGAGTCAGGTATTTCCTTACAGCAACACAAAATATGCTAGACAGTGAGGTGAGTTAATGTAAGTAAAACATGGCTGGGCGTGGTGACTCACACCTGTAGTCCCAGCACTTTAGGAGGCCAAGGTGGGCGGATCACAAGGTCAGGAGTTTGAGACCACCCTGGCCAACATGGTGAAACACCGTCTGTGCTAAAAACACACACAAAAAACTAGCTGGGTGTGGTGGCACACGCCTGTAGTCCCAGCTACTCGGGAGGTTGAGTCAGGAGAATTGCTTGAACCCAGGAGGTGGAGGCTGCAGTGAGCCAAGATTGCGCCACTGCACTTGAGCCTGGGTAACAGAGCAAGACTCTGTCTAGAAAAAAAAAATATGTGTGTGTGTGTGTGTGTGTGTGTGTGTGTGTGTGTGTGTGTAACACATCTGCAATCCCAGAGAGCAGAGGAATTCATGGTTCCATCCCCACCTCTCTGGAGAAGCTTGAGGCTCTCGTGGTCTGGGGCATCTGGCATGAAGTGGATAGTGGAGTCACTAGTATCATAGTAGGCAATGCCCAAGTATCCTGAATTCCACAGCACACACAGATGGATCTGTCCAGCAAGGAAGAAAGGAAATCACTATTAGAATCACTCATAAGTGTAGGGTTTACCATGTCTTATATAATTTAATCATTTTCTCAAATCTCTGAGATAGGCATCATCACCCCCATTTAGTGAATGTGAAACAGCCACTCAGGAGGTAAGAGACTTGCCCAGCTCTTCCCAACCCTGTTTTTTTTTTCTTTCTTTCTTTGAGACGGAGTCTTGCTCTGTCGCCCAGGCTGAAGTGCAGTGGAGCAATCTCAGCTCATTGCAACCTCCGCCTCCCGAGTTACAGTGATTCTCCTGCCTCAGCCTTCCCAGTAGCTGGGATAACAGGCACGTGCCACCACGCTCGGCTAATTTTTATATTTTTAGTAGAGACGGGGTTTCGCCATGTTGCCCAGGCTGGTCTCCAACTCCTGAGCTCAGGTGATCCGCCCGCCTCAGTCTCCCAAAGTGCTAAGATTACAGGTGTGAGCCACCGCGCCCGGCTCCCAACCCTCTTTTATTCTAACTTCCCATCAACTCTCCATTCAAGTTTCTACTCCCCTCAGAGACCTCGGCCAGCTCCTCCTCCTCCTCGACTTCCTCCTCCTCGGCCTCCCTGGGGCCCGGCACTGGGGCCGGGCTGGGGAAGCCGGAGGAGGCCGCCCCAGGTCTCGGTCCCTGCGGTGTCCTCCTTGGGTTCGCTCCTAAGGAGGCCATGAGCTTGGAGGCTCTGCGGATGCAAAAAGTGAGGGCGGTTCGGAAGCAACGATTCACAGAGGAGGCCGGGGTAGGGTGGCGCGCAGAATGCAAAGCACTAAGTACTTCTGCTACAGGGCTGCGGGGCAGGGCTGAGGGGCGTGGAGAGCTGTGGACACAGGAGGTGAATTCTCGGGTATTTAACTAAAGTACAGATTGTGGGAAACTCCACGCGCCCCACCCTCATTCCTGTCACGCGGAGGTTACCCTTTGGAAGGAAGGGGTCTGAGGGCCCTGTGGGGCGAGTCGTGCACGTCTTATGTCTCTGCCTCTGCCAACCACGCGCCAGGACCCCAGCCTCACGCGCTTATCTTCCTCCTCCCCCAGCTGCCGCCATCGCAGCGTTTTCCCGCCTTTTCAGTAACCTGAGTCGCTACAGGTGGGAGAACGCCCCGCTGACCGACCGCCACGAGCCTGCAAAAGGAGCGCGCCGGCGCGTGAGCGAGGTGCGCGCGCACGCGCCCCGCCCTCCTAGCCGCTGTTGATTGGAGAGGCCCGGATCCAGCCTAGAGATCCGACAGGGCGAGGAGGAGAAGCGGACTGCCGTAGCTGAAGAGTCTGGACGCTGATTGGCCTATTTGCCTTCGGGGCGGGTCCAGAACGTTCAAACTTCCCGCCCTCTGCCGTTGCTTAGCAGCCGGGCCTCTAGCACTCACTGTTTCTGGGATTTGATTGGCGCAGTGGGAAGCCCGCGAGAAGGTCGGACCAGGGTCCGTAGTCCCAGTCCCTGGAAGGGGTTTGGGACCGTTGCGGGGGTTTTGAGGGGGAGGCCAAACTTAAAGAGCCAGAGGCGCTTATTTTTTTTCCTGCAACAACTCTTAAGTTAATATTTGTACCCTCTGAGTTAATATTTATACAGAGCTTAGAACAGTGCCTGGCAAACAAAGTAAGACCTAAATGAGCGGTGTTTCAAATAAATAAGCGGAAACAAGCAGGACTTCTGTCTCAGCCCTACCGTGCCTGTTTCCTGGGTACAGGGTATGACCACCCCCATAATGGCACGACAGGGCCTAATTTATTATTTAAACCCTTCAAGCAGAGGTGGAAGCATTCGAATTACATCAAATTCTGGCAGAGAGAAGTAGTTCTGATCAGAACACTCACACCCCTACTGGGACATGCCCATACCCCTTCGCACTTCTACACACCCCTGAAGACAGAGAGGTATCTATCATTCATGCATTCGGCAACTATTTAGTGCCTATTTTGGGCCAGGGGTTGGACTCAAAGCGGTGAACATAATGAAGTCACTGCTCCATAAAGCTTATTTGTGCGTCTGTGTGTGTGTGTGTGTGTGTGTGTGTGTGTGTGTGTTGCGGGGGTGGGGTTATGAGGGAGAAAGAAAAAAAAAATATATATATATATATATAATCCCTTTAAATGCACCATCCTCCCCAGCTTTGTTCCTAGTACCCTGAGATGGGGAGATTCCTCCCCAGCCCCCCAACCCAAGAAGTTAGGAAAGATGGTGGGGGTGAGATGACCTAGCTGTGCTAACCAGTAATTGGAAAATCCCCTCCAGCAAGAAAGGTGGGGGAACAGAGTTAAGGGCTGGGTTAATGGTTACCCCTGGCAAATCTGTTGAGCAATGGAGCTATAGAAACTTGGAGGAGGTTGGTGACAGCTCTGGGGAGTGTCAGGGAGGGACCCACCTTCCAATCTGGGGTGTGAAGAGATTAGGGACTAGTTTACCAAGCCCAGGAAGGGGAGGGAGTGGAAAGAGAAGCCCAGAGAGGGAAAGAGGAGCTACTGAGATAGGAGAAATGCAGGGACAGGGAGGTGAGATGGAGGGAAACCTCTGTTGCAGGATTTGGGGGTACAGCCCTGGCTCTGCTGGATGGTTCCAGGAGAGGGCAGCGTTGCCTGTCACCTGGTAAATTAAGGCACGATACCCTGTGGGTAGTCATGCCAGCCAGCCAAAGTCAATATTGATATCAAGGCAGCTGTAGCTATAAAGCTGTAGGAGAGAAAAGAGAGGCCGGGAGAGGCTGCCAAACCTGTTTGATCTTCAAGCTGGCCCCATTTACCTAAGGCTTCTCTTGGACACAGACCAGTTGGAACAGGAGAGGACCCTGAGAAGTAGAGTTGTTTTGATCCCCTCCCCTCAATGGGAAGGGGTCCTGTGTGCAGATTTTGAGGGTCACCATGAGGGAATTCACACCCACACAGAGGCATGGAATCATACCCTTACAGGATGTTACAGTTCAAGGGAACGAACACCAAAGATAGCCTTTCTGTCGGGAGGAGAGAAAAAGGCCCTCCCACAAGCAGGAGAAAACCCACAGAAGAGGAAGCACAAGAGGAAACCACCAACTGCTGGTTTCCAGCAGCACATCACGTCACTCCACCCCACTCCTCCCCCAAGTCTCTCCCTTTCTTTAAGTTTCAAGCTCTGTTTTAGTTCTGTGTTCTTGCACTCCACCATGGTTTTCTGGAACTGTAGGTCTTTTGTTGGACAGAGGGTGATGAGGAGGATAGAGAAGGGATGGTTGGACAGGAGAGAAATTCAGGATATGGAGGCTGGAATTCTGGGTTTATTTTTTCAGCAGGTCATAAAGGTTTAATAGAAATCAAGGTTACTGGAGAGAGAGCTGCTCCTCCTATGTCCTCCCTGCTTATTTATTTAGGTGTCCCCAAGGACTCTACTCCCACTATTCTGTCTGATCTTTCTTTATCCCCATGACAGGACCAGCTAACAACACCCCTACCCCACCCCCTATACACATACTTCAGGATCGGGCCATGATAATCCCACCCCTCTGCCCCATCTCCAAGGCAACCTGTCAGTGAGACGAGGACAAAGGGCACAGGAAGGGGCCCCAATAGGAAACATAAGTGGAAGCACAAAGCTGACCAAGCTACAGGAACAGACCCCTCCCTGCAACAAAGCCCCTTGCCTCGGCTTTATGTTTCCTTCGCAAAAGACTTCGTCATCTCCCTTCCCATCCCTAACTCTACTTTCTTTTTCTTTTCTTCTTCTTCTTTTTTTTTTTTTTTTTTGAGATGGAGTTTCGCTCTTATTGCCCAGGCTGGAGTGCAATGGCACCATCTCAGCTCACTGCAACCTTCACCTCCCGGGTTCAATTGATTCTCCTGCCTCAGCCTCCCAAGTAGCTGGGATTACAGGTGCCCACCACCCCGCCTGGCAAATTTTTGTATTTTTAGTAGAGACAGGGTTTCACCATGTTGGCCAGTCTGGTCTTGACTCCCTGACCTCAGGTGATCCACCCCCCTTGGCCTCCTAAAGTGTTGGGATTACAGGCGTGAGCCACCTCACCCGGCCCCTAACTCTATTTCCTATGCCCAATCCCAAGTGTAGGCCACAAGGACTGCAAGTCCTAGTGCTGAGCTGGGCCCGGAGACAGTAGACTGCGGGGGGCACAGGACCTACTGAGACACCAGTCTGGGCAGCTCAGGGAGTGCTGGCGTCACCCCTTCCCTAATCCCAGGCTGCATGGCTAACGGTTCCTATCTGCAGTCCCAGCCTTCCACTTCCGAGTTCTTCTCTCAGACCACAGTCCCAGCAACCCAGAATTTGGATTGGAGTCTGGAAGAAATGCAGAATGATTAAACGACCACCTTTCCATTTGAAGTCCCCATCCCTGAATCTTCACGGGTGTGCCCAAGCTGTTAGTGTCAAGTTTTTTATATGAGGGTCAGTCGGGTTGTACTCAGATTAATGAAGCAGGGAAACTGAGGCAGAAAAGAGTCCTGTGTTCAGGAGAGGTCGGAGAAACAAGGAGGTTTTCAGGACTCCTCCTTAACACCCCCATCCCCATCCTGTGGGAGATCCGAGGATTCCCCTTCCGGACTCACTCCCTACATCGTCGAGTCCCGCCCCCCTCCAGTCCCCTCCCCAGGTTCAGGGCGGGGCCGGTCGGTGAGTCAGCGGCTCTCTGATCCAGCCCGGGAGAGGACCGAGCTGGAGGAGCTGGGTGTGGGGTGCGTTGGGCTGGTGGGGAGGCCTAGTTTGGGTGCAAGTAGGTCTGATTGAGCTTGTGTTGTGCTGAAGGGACAGCCCTGGGTCTAGGGGAGAGAGTCCCTGAGTGTGAGACCCGCCTTCCCCGGTCCCAGCCCCTCCCAGTTCCCCCAGGGACGGCCACTTCCTGGTCCCCGACGCAACCATGGCTGAAGAACAACCGCAGGTCGAATTGTTCGTGAAGGTAAGAACACTTCTCTCCTCAGCCACCCAAATTCCTGGAAGCCAACTCTCACCTTTCCCCCGGTCCAGCCTTAACTCCCCAATCCCTTCCCTCCTTGACTCCCACCCCCAATCCCACGTGCACTCTTTGGTTGAGGGGTGGTTTTGAGAGGGGAAGACATTAACTTGTTAGCAAGTAATGAGAATTCTAGGATCAACCCTGAAAAGTTTGTAAAAGTGCAAGTTTCTAGCAGACTAAAGGAAGGGAAGTGGAGAAAAAGGAGAATTCCCAAAAGTGAGACTGGGGTGGGGTTAGAGGGCGAGCTGGTGAAGGGACAGTGGGGGCCCAGCAGGGTTTAGAAGGGACAGAGGGGAACCTCAGTTAGGACATGTGTCCCTACAAGATCTGAGGGTGAGTAGTGCAGTAGGAGAGGTGTGTGTGTGTGTGTGTGTGTGTGTGTGTGTGTGTGTGTGTGTGTGGATGGAGACGCTTCAGGGAAGACGGTGTGTTGAGGGAGGCCTGAGAGTGAGAGCAAGTAAATTGGGAAGCTTTGGAGGGGCGGAACAAAACAGGAGACTGGGATCGGAGTTTGAAAAGCAGAGCTGGAGAGGTGATCGGGTGGCATTGAATATCCCCAGGACTGGGGAAAGGGACAGAAGGGGAGGTGGCAAGAAGACGTGAGTTTAACGTAGCTACCACAAGGATGGGTGGGAGAGAGATCAGACGGAGGAGAAGAGCTCGGTTAGGGCATTTTGGGATTTGGGGGTTGGAGAAGTAGAAGACTTGCCCCAACTCTCTCCTCTCTCTGCGGGTGTGGGTAAGGAGAGATGGTCCTATGGCATTTGGGTAGCAAAACTGCAGGCAGCAGGCTTCTCGGTGTCACCCAGCCCCCCTCTGATTGCAGCGGCCGCTCCCCTCCCTACCGCTGCTGCATTCATTTCCCAGTCTTGGGACCTCCTGGCTGTGCCCCTCCCTCCCTTCCTTAACAGTGTCCTCTTCTCCCCGCTCCGTTTGTGTCTCTCCGTTGGCACGCACGTCTCCCCACTCTCCACTTTCCTGCCGCCTTTCTTTCCCCTTCCCCCCTTTTGTTTCTCTCATCTTTGTGTGTCTCTGCCTGTGTCTCCCTCTCCCTTCTGCTTGGGTTTCTCGGGCAGCCATTCCCTCTCCCTGGGCCCAGGGAAGTCGGAGCCTGCTTGGGTCCGCCCCCTTAGGTGTGGTCCCCACCTCACTCTCACATTCGCCTCCGGGGCTATTTTTACTCGTGGGTGAGGCTGTGCCGCAGAGATTCCGGCCCTGTGTCCTGTGAGAGGATGGTTATTGCAGTCAGAGGACTTGTGCTGGGAGACCCTGGCAGCAGGTTAGGGGTAGCCTTAGCTGCCCAGGCCTCATCCTCACTGTCCCTTCCCCCACATCCTTGACAGGAAGGAAGCCGGAGACAGAGAGATGAATCACCCTCAGCTTAGGGGGAGGTGTCCCTTGGGCCAATGAGGTCACCACTTGCTAATTAGAGGGCAGCCCCTCTCTGTAGGGCCCTCCACATCTCTAGCGCGAGGCCCAGGGCCCCTTGACTAGACTCCCCACCCAAAGACACCTTGGATTGGAGGTGTAGAGAACCAAAACTCTGGCTCCCAAACCCCACCCACCTCTCCTGTCTTCAGACTCTACTCCCTTCAGGAACCCAGAAATCCAGGCTTCTAGCCTACAACTCTGGCCTCACTGAAGTTCCACACCCTTCCCTCTCTAGGATTCAGATCCTCCCAAGTTCTCCAGGACCTCCTCCCTCTACCTACCTCCCACCTGTCCTCAGTGTCTGGGGAACCAGAAGCCTGCCTTTGCAAAACAGTTTCCCATTGATCTGCCTTAGGTTTGACCCAGGCCCAAGGGCAAAGAGCCCATAGTGAGGGGACAGTGTATGTGTCATGACTAGGCAGAAAACAGCTGGTCTGGGAGTGGGAATGCAGGGACTGGCCTAGGGATGGGTGGGGTGCATCAGGCATAACCTTGGGTTGGGGTTACTTTTCAGGCTGGCAGTGATGGGGCCAAGATTGGGAACTGCCCATTCTCCCAGAGACTGTTCATGGTACTGTGGCTCAAGGGAGTCACCTTCAATGTTACCACCGTTGACACCAAAAGGTAGGCCTGCTTATGTTCCTTGAAACACCCCTGGTGTACACATGTGTGCAAACACACACCCACCCGAGTCCTTCTGTCATGAACATTTTTGCCCTCCCCCTGGAGTCCCTTTCTTATCCCACGTCCTCCATTCCCCCTTTCTGGTTCTTCCTGACCCCCATTTCCAGTCCTGATTCCTGATCCTTTCTCCAGGCGGACCGAGACAGTGCAGAAGCTGTGCCCAGGGGGGCAGCTCCCATTCCTGCTGTATGGCACTGAAGTGCACACAGACACCAACAAGATTGAGGAATTTCTGGAGGCAGTGCTGTGCCCTCCCAGGTATAGGGGCACTCAGAAAGTGGAGAGGTGGAGCAGGGAGATTCTGGGAAACAGACAGTTTGCAGAAATGGAAAACAGAGATGGTGGTGGGGCTGGGGCAGGAGAGCTAGCTGAGGTTCCTCCCAGGAAGACATCTTACCTCATTTTTCCCATTGGCTTTCAGGTACCCCAAGCTGGCAGCTCTGAACCCTGAGTCCAACACAGCTGGGCTGGACATATTTGCCAAATTTTCTGCCTACATCAAGAATTCAAACCCAGCACTCAATGACAGTGAGTCTTGTGGGTCAGAGGCCTGGGTCCTGGGAGGAATAGAGAGGACCCAGCGGGTAGGAGACATTAGGGGCACCTGGACGTTCAGATATCAGGGAGATGAAGCAGATGTTCGTAAATTTCCCCCAGCTTCCCATTTTTGCTTTACCTCTATATTTCCCTGCATTTTCATTGGCCAAGACTTTTAAGCTTTTCTCATTTGTTCCCTAGCCTCTTCTGCCCCACTGAGGACGTTAGTTGGCTGCTGGCCTGTTTTCTGGCAGAATAGGGTCATGCTTAAGAACAGTCATCACTCTAGATCCAGACTACCTGAGTACAAATCCAACTAGCCGTATAATTTTGAGCAATCATTTCACCTCTCTGTAAGTCCATTTCCAGATCCACAAAATTAGGATGACAATACCTATTTCATGGGTTGATATAAATTTTTTTTTTTCTTTTTTTTTGAGATGGAGTCTCGTTCTGTCGCCCAGGCTGGAGTGCAGTGGTGCAATCAGCTCACTGCAACCTCTGCCTGCCGGGTTCAAGCAATTCTCCTGCCTCAGCCTCCTGAGTAGCTGGGATTACAGACGTGCATCACCACGCCCAGCTAATTTTTGTATTTTTAGTAGAGACAGGGTTTCACCATGTTGGCCAGGCTGGTCTTGAACTCCCGACCTCAGGTGATCCACCTGCCTCGGCCTCCCAAAGTGCTGGGATTACAGGAGTGAGCCACTGCACCCGGCGATATAAATGAGTTTGTAAAATGTAAAGTGTTCACTTTGGGAGGCCGAGGCTAGCGCACCACCTGAGGTTAGGAGTTGGAGACCAGCCTGGCCAACATGACTGGTCTCTACTGAAAAAAATACAAAAATTAGCCAGTTG
Organism: Homo sapiens; assembly: GCF_000001405.40. Classification (NCBI taxonomy): domain Eukaryota; kingdom Metazoa; phylum Chordata; class Mammalia; order Primates; family Hominidae; genus Homo; species Homo sapiens. The sequence continues at coordinate 3,074,576 of NT_167247.2, read as the reverse complement.
TGGTGGCAGGCACCTGTAATCCCAGCTACTCAGGAGGCTGAGGCAGGAGAATCATTTGAATCTAGGAGGCAGAGGTTGCAGTGAGCCGGGATCATGCCACTGCACTCCAGCCTGGGCAACGGAGCAAGACTCCGTCTAACATAAAATAAAATGTAAAGTGCTTAGAATAACACATAGAAAAGTAACTACATGAGTGTTAGCTATTATTATTTTGGACTCACCATTAGTATCCACCCCCAACGGGCCTTTTCGGACTATGTCAATCTTTTCCTGAAGTTCTAATCAGTTCCCTCTCTTGCACAGATCTGGAGAAGGGACTCCTGAAAGCCCTGAAGGTTTTAGACAATTACTTAACATCCCCCCTCCCAGAAGAAGTGGATGAAACCAGTGCTGAAGATGAAGGTGTCTCTCAGAGGAAGTTTTTGGATGGCAACGAGCTCACCCTGGCTGACTGCAACCTGTTGCCAAAGTTACACATAGTACAGGTGTGTGGTTATTGCGGGAGGAGAGGATGACCACTGGAGTGGCCCTTTAAGGAGCTCCCACATGGGCTTCCCCTGACAACCACTCTAAAGACGATTTCTTTCTTAGGGTGGTTTTCATAAATTGCTACCAATGGCAGACCCCACCCCAGTCCTTTGCAGCAGTCATTGCTAACAAGACCACTGCTTGAGATAATTATATTCCATGATGTAAGTCATGGGTGCAAACAGACTAGCAAAGAGGAATACATCCCAGTATTACTTTTGAAGAATGCTCTTCCTGTCTCGGTATCACTGCCAAATTCCCAGATTAGACAGAGCAGGCTTTTCCTAAAGTCAAAGCTTTAACTTTCTTTATAACTTCAGTCTTCACTTCCTCTTGTGGAAGATCAAAACTGCTGGTTCCCATGTTTTTGTCATAGTCTCAAAGCTATGGTTTAGTTTGTGCAACATGGGCCTGACATCAGTCTGCCACACAACTATGTAGTGAACATCTGTGTACTAAGCATTGAAAGATACACAAGTGTATGGTGACTGGGCCTTGCTCTCAAAGGGTTGAAATCTGAGACAATAAAATATTCACATGAAAGTTAAGAATATATGATGAAAAGTCAGATGGGCCGGGCGTGGTGGCTCACGCCTATAATCCCAACACTTTGGGCGGCCAAGGCTGGTGGACCACCTGAGGTTAGGAGTTCGAGACCAGCCTGGCCAACATGGTGAAACCCCATCTCTACTAAAATTACAAAAATTAGCCGCACATGGTGGTGGGCACCTGTAATCACAGCTATTTGGGAGGCTGAGGCAGGAGAATCACTTGAACCCGGGAGGCGGAGGTTGCAGTGAGCCAAGATCGCGCCATTGCACTCCAGCCTGGGTGACAGCAAGACTCCATCTCAAAAAAAAAAAAGTCTGATGAAAAATATAGAGACAAAAGTCACCTGTGTCAGTGCCTGAAGTGGTATAGGGGGAAAAAGTCACTGTGGAAATTCAAGAGGAGAATTTTATAAGTAAATTATATCTCAAGTTTTAAAAACTCAGGAAAAATGGCTGGTTATTAAAAGCCAGGATTTCAGTAAGTGAGAAGGAAGGCTAACGACAGTACAAGACAGTGAGGAGTTGAGCTGGTTTTATCATGTCGGCCTGGGGAGAAGGGAAAGCCAAGGTGGCTTCCCTGGGTCTAACATGTTGGTCCCTCTCCTCTCCCCATCCTCAGGTGGTGTGTAAGAAGTACCGGGGATTCACCATCCCCGAGGCCTTCCGGGGAGTGCATCGGTACTTGAGCAATGCCTACGCCCGGGAAGAATTCGCTTCCACCTGTCCAGATGATGAGGAGATCGAGCTCGCCTATGAGCAAGTGGCAAAGGCCCTCAAATAAGCCCCTCCTGGGACTCCCTCAACCCCCTCCATTTTCTCCACAAAGGCCCTGGTGGTTTCCACATTGCTACCCAATGGACACACTCCAAAATGGCCAGTGGGCAGGGAATCCTGGAGCACTTGTTCCGGGATGGTGTGGTGGAAGAGGGGATGAGGGAAAGAAATGGGGGGCCTGGGTCAGATTTTTATTGTGGGGTGGGATGAGTAGGACAACATATTTCAGTAATAAAATACAGAATAAAAATCAAGTGTTTTTACGCAATGGGGGTTTAAAGTGTGGGCGACATGGAATGAGGGGTGGGTCAGTGATCTTGAGCTCAGGGCAGAAGCCAGGAATTAAGAAGGGAAATGTTTGTGGTGGGGCTGCTATGTTTCGTGCCGGTCCGCCGGTCCGCCGTTGCGCTGTTCTGAGGTCTACGAAGCGTTTGCAGCCCCGTCGCCAGGGCCGGCCAGATCTGGGTGGGCCTGGGCAGCGCTCGCTGGGCGGTGCCGATTTCTGGCAAGGGGGGCGCAGTCTGGATGTAATGGGCGAGGCTTAGCAGGGCGGAATGGGCGTGGCCCGAAGAAGCCCCGCCCCGTCCCGCTTAGACAATGCCCCGGAGCCGCCAGACCGTCGCGCCCCTGCCCCATCGTAGTATATGAGCTCGCCTACACAAGGACCCCCGCTAAAAGCCAGAGCTCCCAGTCCCCGAGGCTTGAAGACGGGGACTCCCTTCTCCACCAACTCTGTCCTCGGGGGGTGGGGCCCCAGCCGAGATCACAGCGCGACAGGAGTGGGGGTGGCCGCTGGAGGTGAGTCTTGCGTGGGGGGCCCTGAACCGTGTGGGGGCCGGAGTTTGGGGGTGCCGGGCCCATGCCTGCACCAGACAGAGAGTATGGGGAGCCGGTATTTGGGCGCGGAGCTAGGCGGGGTGGACTTTGGGACATAGACGGGGAACCGGGTCCTGGAGCCGGGAGTAGTGCCAGCGCCCCGGAACCACGCCCCCTGTTACCCCGCCCCTCGCATTTCGTTTTAGACCTCTCCCAGTCCTTCGGGACTCGGTCTGGTTTATACTAGGTCGCGCTAGGGGCAGCGTGACCAGCCAGGGCGGAGAGAGGATGCTTAACTCCTTAGGCTCGAACTCCTCCCTTCCTACCCACCTCTCTCCCTTCTCGTTCGGGTATTCAGGACTTCCATTCCCCAGCCCCTGCCTCTCCAGCTTTCTCCTTCTGTCCCATAACCCCTGCGGGTCGCGGGCTGGACTTCCAGTCCCTGCGGTAGCGAGCAGCTGAGGGTTAAGGGGGCGGGGCTGCTGCATTTTTGGGGAGTGAGCGCATCCTAGTGGCTGCCAAGAGGGGCGCCCGACAGGGACCTCACAAGCCCCCAAGCAGGGGCAACAGGTGTTTTGGAGATTAGAGACCCTAGCCTTGTTCCTCAGGCTCCTCTTAAAGAATCTGACCCCTGAGGGTGCTGGGTAGAGTGAGGTCGACAGGAGCGGAAGGTCTGGAGTGGGTGGGGCGGAGTGGGAGGGACGCCTAGAGATGGCAGGAGGAAGACCTGGGCGCTCTTAACCACCCCCAACGCCCTTGTCTGCATGTCTTTTTCTCTGTCTCCTCCTTTTCTGTTTCTTCTCCCAGACAGGTGAAGAAACAAGAAAACTAAGAAATCCGAGCGGTTGGAGGGGGAGTCTGTGTGGATGGGATGGGGACGCCGGGGGAGGGGCTGGGCCGCTGCTCCCATGCCCTGATCCGGGGAGTCCCAGAGAGCCTGGCGTCGGGGGAAGGTGCGGGGGCTGGCCTTCCCGCTCTGGATCTGGCCAAAGCTCAAAGGGAGCACGGGGTGCTGGGAGGTAAACTGAGGCAACGACTGGGGCTACAGCTGCTAGAACTGCCACCTGAGGAGTCATTGCCGCTGGGACCGCTGCTTGGCGACACGGCCGTGATCCAAGGGGACACGGCCCTAATCACGCGGCCCTGGAGCCCCGCTCGTAGGCCAGAGGTGAGCGCCGTGGCGCGGGTGTGGTATGGGGAAAGGCAGAAGGAACTGGATGTCGGGGCTTTGGGGAAGAATTGAGGATGGGGGTGTCACAGCTCCGTGCCCTCTTCTCCTATCCTAAGGTCGATGGAGTCCGCAAAGCCCTGCAAGACCTGGGGCTCCGAATTGTGGAAATAGGAGACGAGAACGCGACGCTGGATGGCACTGACGTTCTCTTCACCGGTGAGGCTGGGGGGAGGCATAGGTCTTGGCACAGGGAAGTAGAGTTTGGGAGACTCGGCCGTCTGGAGCCTTGTTTCTAACTCACTCCCGCCCTCAAACCTCCGCGGCCTCCCGGACTCAGGCCGGGAGTTTTTCGTAGGCCTCTCCAAATGGACCAATCACCGAGGAGCTGAGATCGTGGCGGACACGTTCCGGGTGCGGAGCGGGACCAGCCTAGGGAGGGAGGGGGTGCAGGTGGGGGTCGGAAGGGCCTGGGCGCCCGCTGAGGAAATGAGAGGCAGAGAGCAGCCTATGTTTGAAGATACCCCATCACCCCTCCCGCGCCCCTGAATACCTCCCTTCGCTCTCCCTAGGACTTCGCCGTCTCCACTGTGCCAGTCTCGGGTCCCTCCCACCTGCGCGGTCTCTGCGGCATGGGGGGACCTCGCACTGTTGTGGCAGGCAGCAGCGACGCTGCCCAAAAGGCTGTCCGGGTGAGGAGGGGGCGGGGCCAACGAAAGTGGGCGCAGTTCTGGGCCCGGGAGGCCGGGAGCTGGGAGGCTTAGGAAATTAGCCCTAACCCCTGCCCTCAATGGGCTGTCCATCTTACATGAAAGAACACAGGAGAAAATAAGAAGTTACAACAGCAGGACTGGGAACAGGGGTGATTAATTTGCTCTTCCGGAGTTTCAGGAAACCCCAAAGGTGGCACCTAAACTGTGACTCTAAGGATGGGTAGGACAGATAGGAGGGGCTGGGGAAGGTAGGGGGTTGAAAATAACTGCATGTGATTCCAAGGTGGAAATTAGCAAAGGTAACTAAAGTACTTAGTGTCTGACATATCGTAAGCTCTATGTGCTTGCTGTCATTATTTTCCACAAATGTCAGTCCGTCCCCAGCCCTTAGTGGTGGTTGAGCAGGCAGACACAGCTGTGGAGAGGTTCTGAGACTCGAACACTTCCTCTTTCCTCTAGGCAATGGCAGTGCTGACAGATCACCCATATGCCTCCCTGACCCTCCCAGATGACGCAGCTGCTGACTGTCTCTTTCTTCGTCCTGGGTTGCCTGGTGTGCCCCCTTTCCTCCTGCACCGTGGAGGTGGGGATCTGCCCAACAGCCAGGAGGTGAGAGAGGGCAGGAACTCCAACACCAAGCACCATCAGAGAAAAGAGTTTCAGGCTTTCCTAGTGGGAGGAAGGAAGGGTACCTTCTCTAGAAGCCTGGGTGGGGCCACTCTGAGCTGGCTGGAAGAGTGGCCTGGCTCAGCCTGAGGTCTCACTCCCCTCTCCCCACTCCATGTCTTCCCTGTGCAGGCACTGCAGAAGCTCTCTGATGTCACCCTGGTACCTGTGTCCTGCTCAGAACTGGAGAAGGCTGGCGCCGGGCTCAGCTCCCTCTGCTTGGTGCTCAGCACACGCCCCCACAGCTGAGGGCCTGGCCTTGGGGTACTGCTGGCCAGGGGTAGGATAGTATAGGAAGTAGAAGGGGAAGGAGGGTTAGATAGAGAATGCTGAATAGGCAGTAGTTGGGAGAGAGCCTCAATATTGGGGGAGGGGAGAGTGTAGGGAAAAGGATCCACTGGGTGAATCCTCCCTCTCAGAACCAATAAAATAGAATTGACCTTTTAGACTGGGCTGTGACTGGTGTCTTACTGGGGCAAAGGGATAGGGCAGGGCTGAAACCTGAGTTTGGGGTCAGTGCAGGGAAGAAGGCCTCTTATTCAAAAATCTTGTTAGGTACTTATCAACTCATTGCCCAACCATGTCATAGGTACTTGAGCACAAGATGAACAAGACAGAATTTCTATCATGGGAAGTGTGTCCAGGGCAGAGAAAAGAGTGTATGGGTGGATTGCTCACTGAATTTATCTAAATGTTAGATGATTCAGAGACTGGTAGATTACCAGTCCACCCCTATTTGATAAAGAAAAAGAAATGACACTTCCAGGGACATTCATTTTCATTCATTCATTTAATGAGGCTTAGCAATGATATCAAAAGGGTCAGTCTCCTGACGTTGGGGAGCTCACAGTACATGCAAATTTCTTACAAATTGAAATACAGGTTGTCATGGAACAATTTACAGAAGGCTGTTTCTATGAGGGAAATAAAGGGGGTGTGCCCTAGGGCATCAAAGTATATGCAAGGGGTGGCCAAGGAGGGTCACCTTCCCAGAAAAGGCCATACTTGAACTAAGGATAAATAAGAATTAGCCAGGCAGATAGTGTGAAGGAGGGAAAGGGGTAATACAGGAAGAAGGAATTGCACTGGGCAAAGACATTTTGGGGCTAGGGAGAATTCTCTAAGGCTGGCATTTTCTAAGATGTGCATGTGGAATGACACAGGTAAGCCTGGAGAGTGGACAAAGTGCTGTAGTACCTTGTATCCAAAGCCAAGGCACGTGGGCACAGAGCTGAAGCTAAGGAGAGTACTTCAGTTCTGTAATAAGGGCTGTCAGGAGCAGTTATCTCTTGAGTAGGATCTCTCTGACTTCAGGGAGGAAAGCAAGGGTAGGAGGATGAGGTGGGGCTATGGGTAATCCAGGAAGGAAGTGAGCAGAGTACATTCACGTGGCAGCGCTGGGCATGGAATACAGTGTGGGTTTGACAGTGATGTTAAGATAGAAAGACTGGACTTCATGGCTCATTGTGTGGGAGTAAGAGAGAAAGGAGGTCTGCGTGACTCCCAGTTTCTGGGTTGGGCAACTGGGTTGTTAAAGAGAATACAGAGGAGAATTAAGTGAGCAGCTTCAGAGATGACAATGAGTTGGGTTTGACATTCAGAGTGCGAAATGCCTGAGGTCAGTCAGGCAGAATGTCTAAGTGGAAGTTTGTTAATCCCAAATCTGAGATCTGAGCCAGAGAGAGTTCTGAGTGTCATTTGCAGAGGAGGGGGCTGAGGACTGACTGTTGATGAGAGTGTCCCAGAAGAAGAGAAAGGGACAAACCTAGAATGGTGGGAAATACTGTAGGGATATGGAGCAAGGAAGAGGAGTCCAAAAAGAAAACACCAGCAACAAAGAAAAACAGCTTAAAGAATCAGGCCGGGCGCGGTGGCTCACACCTGTAATCCTAGCACTTTGGGAGGCCGGGGCGGGTGGATCACGAGGTTAGCAGATCAAGACCATCCTGGCTAACACAGTGAAACCCCGTCTCTACTAAAAATACAAAAAATTAGCTGGGCGTGGTGGCGGGCGCCTGTAGTCCCAGCTACTCAGGAGCCTGAGGCAGGAGAATGGTGTGAACCCGGCAGGCGGAGCTTGCAGTGAGGGAGATGGTGTCACTGCACTCCAGCCTGGGCAACAGAGCGAGACTCCGTCTCAAAAAAAAAAAAAAAAGGAGCTAGGGCTTGATTGGGTATAGAGAGGACACTGGTGGTGAGGGAGACATGGAGGTTATAGGAGAGATGGGAGTAAGTTTAGAAGTAAGACCAGTGGCAGAGACAGCCTGGAACCCAGGTCTCCCAACTCCCAGTCTAGCACTTATTTCTATACCATGGTGCCTTCCTCTTCCAGGTGAGGAACCAAGGAGGGGAGAGGGATTATGGGGAGCTGGGATCCCCTAGCTTGGGAGGTTTGGAGTAAGGGCTTCCCTTCAAACTACAACTGCATAGATGGTGGAGGCATCAGCAGGGTCCGCTGTGGACAGCCGGCGGGGCCTGCTGAGGGCTAGATGGTCCAGATCCGCATAGAGCAGGCTCTGGAGGAGGAAGGGGAGGAAGACAAGATGGTCTCCACAGTCTTCCTTGGGGTTCAGGCCTTTTTTTTTTTGGTCCATTTTCCTCAGAGATTCTGGCTATCCCCTTCCCATCCCCATGCCCTTACCGGTTCCTGGTCCAGGTCCCCTGGAATCTTGGGCTCTTCCTCCTTTACTGGCCTCTGGGGCTCGGTTTTCACAAGTGGAGCTATGTGGGGGGGACAGAGCTGAAGGATGGAGAGAAGGTGACCAACGTGTCTGCTCCCAGCAAGGGCTCAGACTCAGGAATTGAGGGGTGGGGAGTGGGCATGTAGGAGAAAGAAAATGGGGTGGAATTAGTCTCACCAAATCTAGGGAGTGGTCGAATCGGTTGCGGGGGCAGGCGCCTGTAAGGGACATATGAGTCTTTGAGAACCACCAGTCTTGTCTCACTGGTTCTCCTGGGACTCGCCACGCCAAGGACAGCCCAGCAACTTGAAGGCTCAGACCGGAAACAACTTAGACTCTACCCCACCGACAGTCCAGCCCAGGCTCTAACTCTGCTGCACTTCCAGCTCATCTGCTCTGGTGGGGCTCTACTCACCAGTCAGCGGCCTCGCTCCCACCTTTGACCTCTCCCATTCTTCGCCAAGCCAGGACCAGAGCTCTAGGTCTAGCTCTTTCTTTTGCGAAGGTTCTGGTCCTGCCCCTTCCACCTCTGGTCACTCCCCATTTAACGAGGCCGGGTCCCTCCTGCTCACCTGTGCAGCCACCAGACCAGGCCCAAAGCTCCCAGTCCGAGCACCAACCCAGCGCCCAGCAGCGGGATCAGGAGCTGGGGATACACGGACCCTGGGGGAAAGGCGTGGCGGGGAGGGATGCTGAGGTCAGGGGTTTGACGAGGGACAGCCAGCAGTCCCGCTCAAGAACCCCCAGCCAAGGCCCTCTTCCCTCCTCCGGGTATGTGTCGGAGTTAAGTACCCTTGTGCGCACAGGCCTGCACCTACCATGGGTAGGCCCGGGGGCCTTGCAATAGGTCCTGTCCCCCAGCACGTGAAGCACTGTACGGCTCTCGTCCTCGTGGCGGCCCTTGCAGAAAAAAGTGCCCGAGTCCCCCGCGCTCAAGAGGAGCTCCAGCCGCCGGATACCAGAGTCCAGGGAGCGTAGGCGGCCGACGAAAGGCTGGAGGGGAGGCACGGTGGGGGTCCCGCTCGAAGAGGCCCACAGGATCGGTCGGCGTCCTTTGGACAGGCCCTTGCAGGCCGGGAAGCTGGGTGCCCAGACCCAGCGGATGGGATGAGAGACTCCTCCGCAGGAGAGATTCACCCGGTCCCCAGGGCGGCCGTCCAGAGAAGCTAGGAGAGGCCGGAGGCTGTGGTTAGGGCACGTCCACAGGGCAAGACGACCCTCCATCCCGTCTCCTCTTTCTCTTCTCTGTTCTGCACTCCAGCCATCCTGGATCTTCCCACACACAACCCACCCTACTAGGCGGCCCTTATCTTGCTTCAGCCCCTCTGCGTCTATCACAACTCTCCCAGGGATCGCTTACCCCCAGGGTTCCCTTGGGCCCTCGAGAGCAGCAGCGGTAGCAGCTGCAGAAACACAGCCATGGTTAGGATGTGGTGAGGAGAAGCTGCGAGCGAATCAGCGGCGTGGGGCCGGTTGGGGGGGGACCGGAGGGAAGTTAGGCGTGGGGAGAACGGAGGGGCTGGGGGGCTCCGATAAGAGAGGGGGCGGGGCCACCAGCTGCCCAGATCCCTTTGGGAATCCTCGCAGGCAAACTCGGAGTCTTCAAATGGTTCTCACTTAAAATGTGTGCTCGGGCCATTTACACAAATGCTTTGGCCTGCTTAACTTTTCAGGTGCGCCTGTAATCCCAGCTACTTAGGAGGCTGAGGAGGGAGGATCGCTTGAGCTCAGGAGGTCGAGGTTGCAGTGAACTGTGATCAGGCCATTGCACTCCAGCCTGGGCGACAGAGCCAGCCAGACCCTGTCTCAAAAACAACAACAACAAAAACTCCTGTTTTGTAGGGGATTGTGATAACGAAATAAAGTAATACATGTAAACTGCTTAGAATACATAGGATCACTATGTAAGTGCTTGCCATTATTATTACTATTTCTATTCTTTTTTTTTTTTTTTTTTTTGAGTCAGAGTCTTGCTCTGTGGCCAGGCTGGAGTGCAATCTCGACTCACTGCAGCCTCCGGCTCCTGGATTCAAGTGAGTCTCCTGTCTCAGCCTCCTGAGTAGCTGGAACTACAGGTGCATGCCACCACACCTGACTAATTTTTGTATTTTCAGTAGAGATGGGGTTTCACCATGTTGGCCAGGATGGTCTCGATCTCTTGACCTTGTGATCCACCCACCTCGGCCTCCCAAAGTGCTGAGATTACAGGTGTGAGCCACCACACCCGGCCTACTATTTCTATTCTTATTTTAGCTTCTACCTCACCTCTCTGTGCCCATGCTGTTCCTCCTGGCTTGGTACCCTGCCCAAGTTGGCAGGTTTTGACTGGGGAGGTGCTTTGGAGCAGGTGCACACAGCCACACCTAGGACAATTGCTGCTGCTGGACTGGAGCAACAAGGCCACACCAAGCGCAAGTGGAGCACGGGTGACATCCTGAGAACCTTCATGGGAGCCTGAGGCAGCCCTACTTAGCAGACCTGTGGTGGCTCTCCTGGATGAGTAGCCCCAGCCCCTGCCTCTGCTGCTGTGGCATCACAGAAGCCATCAGTGAGTCACTTATTGCTGAGCAGGCATTGGAAAGACCGAGTGGGGGCTGAATGGAGATTAATTTGACCCATTCCTCCCCCAATTTCCACCAGCATGCCCCTATCAATGCCCAGCAGGGACCCAGGGACCCAAATTCAGCAATTAATTTGGGCCACATCCTTTTGTCCATTTTCCAGGAACCAGCAGAAGCTGCCACCATGGACACTGTAAATCACAGAGGCCTTTGATGATGCTCATTCAGAGGACTGAGCAGCAGGACTCTTAGCTGGGGACCAGGAAGGGCATCTTGGCCTGAAACCAAGAACCACAATGGCATTGGCCACTAGTGGCACCTGCCTTCCCCCATCCCTCTCTCCCATCCCTACTCCCCACTCAGTCCTGCTCAGTGCCTTCCCACCCCTTGTCTTTTCTCTGGTCAGCTGCGTAGTAAGTGAGAAGGGAGGGGCTACCAGAGGCAGGGAAGGGAGGAGCCTTTGGGTTTATAAATTCCAAAAAGGCCACTCAACTCCTAGAGCTGGATCCTTGAAAATCTACTCTATCAGCTGCTGTGGTTGCCACCATTCTCAGGACCCTCGCCATGAAAGCCCTTATGCTGCTCACCCTGTCTGTTCTGCTCTGCTGGGTCTCAGGTGAGCACCTGGGGGCCCCAAAGACCTGGTTTGCCTGGTCAGGACCTTTACACCCTGCTCTACCCACTTCCCGGCCCTACCCACCACTCGGGATCCCAACACCCCCAGCCCCAACTGGCTCAGCTCTCCTGTGCCACCAAGACCAGGCTTCCCTATGACAGCCTCCTTGCTCTATTTCTCAAAAAGCCAGGTCTCCATCCATCCTCCCCACCTCCAAGAAAGACCCATTTCTCTCACCTGCCAGGGCTCTGGGTCCCCTGTTCCCCACTCCAAGGTGTCTCCTCCTTGGAAACTCTGGTATCCAGTTCCCCAACCAGCCCCACTTCAATATGCAACTCTCCAGAGTCTAGCTTACCTGCCTTCTCCTCTATCTGCTGTGCTCAGTAAGGTGTCCTCTCGAAGACCTAGGCATCCAGCCCCAGGCTCCTTTTGTAACCTACCCTCCCCATCTACTCCATCAGGGACTCACATGTTCAGTCTCTCAGCCATGGCCTTTCCTAGATACCCCCTACTCCCCTCCTGGGTTGCATACCTCCTCCCATACAGGGGATACAAACTTTCTAGATGGTTGCAGTGACATCTAAGAGCCTCCATGGAAACAGAGCGTTTTCTTGAGCCTTCTGAAGAGGGGACAACTGGGCCACTTACCTCCAGGGTGAAGTGGATTTCACTGAGGTACACTTACCAGGCTCTTCCACCCTCGGACCCTGCGTCACCAAATCTTGCCTGCCCAAACCTTGAATTAACTGAAGCAGGAAACTTGGGGTGCCACCTTCTGTATCCACCCTCTCCATTTTGATAAGGTGCTAAGATGGAATCTGGTGATCTGTCTCTCAGGTATCATTCCTTTCTGCTGAAGAGCTACTGGGGTGAGAGGATTCTATTCTGGTCTGGTTCCTCTTGCCACACTCTTGCCAGCTCCAGGAGGTGAAGAGTAAATTGTAAATTGCTAAAGCTGGCCACAGATGGCTTTCTCGCCAGCCTCAAGTTCCAAGGCATTTCTGACAGTGTTGTAACCCTCATGATTTTCATTTTTATTATTTCTCCTTCTTTCAAGTTTCCATCTCCTCCTTCACCATCCACATTCTTTCCCCATGGTATCTTCCTCACATTCCATCTATCTCCAGCCCCATGTTTTTCTTCATAGTTCTGTCCCTCTTGACTCACCTCCAAACGGGGTGGAGTGATGGAAGATATGTAGGGCGTGGGCCTTTCACAAAGCAACAGCTCTACCCTTACCTGCCGCCCACTTTCCATTTTCCCTGCATCACTCACCTGCTCTGTGCTTGCTAGACCAAACAGCCAAACAGGTTGGAGCACCTACGGGATGGGCTCTTCTCCACCCTCCACCCCTGCCCCCAGCTCAGCTTATCCCCAGGTAAGTCAGAGACCCCATCACCTCAGCCTGACTTGTGTCTTCCCAGCTGACATTCGCTGTCACTCCTGCTACAAGGTCCCTGTGCTGGGCTGTGTGGACCGGCAGTCCTGCCGCCTGGAGCCAGGACAGCAATGCCTGACAACACATGCATACCTTGGTAACATCCCCTTCCTTAGTGGGGTGAACAGGGAGGTGGGAGCCTCTATGACCAGGACTGAGGCCCAAATGGGTCTAAGACTGAGATGGAGAAGCAGAGGATTATAGCAATGATAATATTTGGCCAAAGATGGTTGTGTGCCAGGCAACATCCTATGTCTTTGCATGCCTTTTTTTCAATTAATGTTCATGACAACCCTGTGATGTGGGTGCTATTATTATACTGAGAAAACGGCCTCAAAAAGAGACAGTAACACAGCCGGGCATGGTGGCTCATGCCTGTAATCCCAGCACTTTGGGAGGCCAAGGTGGTTGGATCACTTGAGGTCAGGAGTTCAAGACCAGCCTGGCCAACATGGTGAAACCCCATTTCTACTAAATATACAAAAATTAGCCAGGCATGGTAGTGGGCGCCTGTAATCCCAGCTACTCGGGAGGCTGAGGCAGGAGAATCGCTTGAACCTGGGAGGCGGAGGTTGCAGTGAGCTGAGATGGCACCACTGCACTCCAGCCTGGGCGAGAGTGAGACTCTGTCTTGGAAAAAACAAAAAAACAAAAAACAGAGACAGTAACAGGTCCATGGCCAGCAAGTGATAGAACCAGGACTGGGGGAGTGGTGGGTAAGGATGTGCAGAAGGAAGATCAGACTAAGAAAAGAGAAGGGGAGGGCCAGGGACAGAGTTGGGAAGGAAGGAAGCCTAGGTGGGTGGATGGGGTGGGGAGGTGGACACAGGCATGCCAGGTGCCCATCCTGGCCGATTCCCTGCCCATTCCCACCCCTAGGTAAGATGTGGGTTTTCTCCAATCTGCGCTGTGGCACACCAGAAGAGCCCTGTCAGGAGGCCTTCAACCAAACCAACCGCAAGCTGGGTCTGACATATAACACCACCTGCTGCAACAAGGACAACTGCAACAGCGCAGGACCCCGGCCCACTCCAGCCCTGGGCCTTGTCTTCCTTACCTCCTTGGCTGGCCTTGGCCTCTGGCTGCTGCACTGAGACTCATTCCATTGGCTGCCCCTCCTCCCACCTGCCTTGGCCTGAGCCTCTCTCCCTGTGTCTCTGTATCCCCTGGCTTTACAGAATCGTCTCTCCCTAGCTCCCATTTCTTTAATTAAACACTGTTCCGAGTGGTCTCCTCATCCATCCTTCCCACCTCACACCCTTCACTCTCCTTTTTCTGGGTCCCTTCCCACTTCCTTCCAGGACCTCCATTGGCTCCTAGAAGGGCTCCCCACTTTGCTTCCTATACTCTGCTGTCCCCTACTTGAGGAGGGATTGGGATCTGGGCCTGAAATGGGGCTTCTGTGTTGTCCCCAGTGAAGGCTCCCACAAGGACCTGATGACCTCACTGTACAGAGCTGACTCCCCAAACCCAGGCTCCCATATGTACCCCATCCCCCATACTCACCTCTTTCCATTTTGAGTAATAAATGTCTGAGTCTGATAAAATGTACATTTATTATAAGAAGACCTAAGGGTCAGGTCACCTCCCAGGAAATAATACTCTCAATCTCCCTCCCTTACACAGGAATCCTTCAGGGAGGTTCCCTGGGAGGCTGGGCTGGGGAAAATGGAGAAACAGGTTTTTCAGGTCTTCATCCTCCCTTCCAGTGTCTCCAGGTGGCACACAACAACTCATATCCTAAATTTAGGCCACACCCCTGATGTATTGCCAAGAAGAAGGTGCGGCCTGGCTTGAGGGCTCTCCAGAAAGGATAGGAGAGGTACATGGAGATGGGGCCTGAGACCCTGTTTCTTCAGTTTCTCTCAGGTTAGAGTCAAAGGCCTCACCTAGCCTAGTTAGTAAGTAGGGCATCAAGCAGTTTTTACCTATCACAGTTTTTACATTTCTTTTCTCAATTCAAAATAGTCCTATTGGGAGCCAACTTGCAAATGGGAAATAGGGGAGCAAACCCAGACTCAGGCTCACAAAACCCTGGCAACCCCACTCAATGAATCTCATTGCTAAGGAAGATTCAACCCAGCAACAGGATCCAGGAGCCACAGAAGGCAGATAAGCCATTGCCCTTTGGGGTTTAGTTGGTTAAGGAGTGCACCACTGTAATTAAGCCCGCTGTTGCTTGGTAACCCCCAAACTAGAACCTGGATGCCCCATATTACGCTTTTAGCCCTCCCATCAACCAAAGATAGATGTAATTTTCCAGTCAGCTGTAGAGTGGTTCATAGATTTTAATGACTCACAGAAGGATGTTTGTCTTCTCACATTAGATGTTCAGATGTCCCTTGTTCCCTTGCTCCCTTGTTCCCTTCTCTACTCCTACTCCCCCTATCCGCTCCACAGTCCTGGCAAGAGACAGGTCAGGGCGGTAGCTGCTGCAGCCAAAATGCCTGCAGGGGCCACATGGCTTGCCACGGCGCTGTTGCACAGGTCTCCCAGGTAGCAGTCCCTGTGGGCTGGATAAGTCACGTCTCCCACCGACTCTGTCTCCACTTGATTGCAATGATGGGCTGCGACGCAGGCTGGATGTTGGTGAATCAAGGTCACTGGGGCTGAGAGAGAGAATGAAACTGGGGTGTTGGACTCCTGGCTTCAGGACTTGCCTTCTGGGGCAGAGCAGATGTGATTTCAAGGAGCCCAAAGGGATTTTCAGCCCCCTCAAAAAACACCTCCCTGAAACCAAGTGATCAAAGTTAATGCATTGACCTTGTAAACTCCTGATGTGATGCAGCAAGAAGGATGCAACATCACTTCTGCAGTATTCTTGCTTAAAATGCATGACCTCAATCTCATCATGGCAAATATCAGATAAATAAATATCGAGGGACATTCTATAAAATAATTTTTAGTATTTCAAGTATCTGTAATTTTTTTTTTTTTTTTGAGACGGAGTTTCACTCTTATTGCCCAGCTGGAGTGCAATGGTGTGATCTCGGCTCACCGCGACCTCCACCTCTTGGGTTCAAGCAATTCTCCTGCCTCAGGTTCCCGAGTAGCTGGTATTACAGGCGGGCACCACTACACCCGGCTAATTTTGTATTTTTAGTAGAGACGAGATTTCTCCACATTGATCAGGCTGGTCTTGAACTCCCGACCTCAGGTTATCCACCCGCCTTGGCCTCCCAAAGTGCTGGGATTACAGGCGTGAGCCACTGCATCCGGCACGTAATTTTTGTTTAATCTAAAAATGATTTTATTTAATTTTAGAGAAAAGATCTTGCTCTCTCACTCAGGCTGGAGTGTGGTGGTGCAATCATACCTCCCTATAGCCTCAAACTCCTGGGCTCAAGTAATCCTCCTGCCTCAGCCTCTCAGGAAACTGAGATTACAGGTGTGTGCCACTATGCCTGGCTAATTTTTTAAAAACATTTTTTGTAGAGATGGGGGTCTCACTTTGCTGCCCAGGCTGGTGTCAAACTCCTGACCTCAGGTGACTCTTCAGCCTTGGCCTCCCAAAGTGCTGGGATTACAAGTGTGTGCCACCAAGCCTAGCCTAAAAATTATTATTATTATTATTTTTGAGACAGGGTCTCATTTTGTTCCCCAGGCTGGAGTGTAGTGGCGTGATCATGGCTCATTGTAGCTTCAATCTCCCAGGCTCAAGCGATCCTCCCTCTTCAGCCCCCTGAGTAGCTAGGACTACAAGCATGTGCCACCACACCCAACTAATTTTTTAATCTGTTTGTTTGTTTGTTTGTTTGTTTTTTGTAGAGACAGGGTCTCCCTATGTTGCCCAGGCTGGTCTCAACTCTTGGGCTCAAGTGGTCCTCCCACCTTGGCCTCCTAAAGTGCTGGGATTACAGGTGCGAGTGACTGCACTGGCCCTAAAAGTAATTTTTTAAACTCCAGGTATAAAATAATTTATCAGGGCTCTTCAAATGTGTCAGGGTCATGAAAGACAAAGAAAAACAGAACTGGCACAGATCAGAGGAGACTAAGAAGACATGAGAGCTAAATGCAATGTAGGATCTTGCTAAATCAAATAAAGTCTGTAGATTAGTTAGTAGTATTGTATCAGTTATTTTGTGATTTTGATAATTGTGCTATGGTTATGTAAGATGTTAGCATTAGGAGAAGTTGAGTATTTCTGCAACTTTTCTGTCAATCCAAAATTATGTTAAAATAAAATATTAAAAACATGTACACACACACACACACACACACACACACACACACACACCCCTCCCTGGTCCTTAACTAATGCCGAAAATTTGAAGTTTGGTTTTAACTTTGGCCTTTCAGGGCCAGAGCTCTTCATTTGTGAGCTAATGGGCCTATGAGATTCTTTTAGGAGAATAAGGAGGTGGGGAAGTGGGGGCACAAGGACTGTGGGCCTCTCAGGGGCTCCGTGCCAGGAGCCAGAAGGGGTACAGACTGCTCTCCTCTAACAGCTGCACCATCTGCCCAGAGCCAGACTGAGCCTGGAGGGTTCTGGAAGCCAGAAGGATTGACATGGGGCTGGAGGCAGGGAAAGGCTGCTGGAAGAGGGAGAAACTGAGGACTCACGGTTTCCAGGTAGCTTGATCTGTTCCAGGCCTGGCTGGGGTCTGCCCTCGCCACAGGTGGTCACGGCCTCTTTGCAAGAACTGCTGGGGCTTCCACCACAGTTGTAGCACCGCATTCGGTTTCCTGGCAGGAGAAAAGAGGCGCTGGACCTGGGCCCTCGGTGGAGCCGGCTGGCAGAAGGCCTGTGTGAGAAGCTAGCTGGCCGCCTCCTTACCCAAGGCAGCCCCTAGCAGGGAGCTGAGCAAGATCCCAACAAACTGGGGTTTCATCGCAGTCTGCCCGTGTCAGGACCGCCTCTACCTCCTGCCCACCCCCCTCCCCAGCCCGGCTCTGCCTGCCTTATATCCCCCGTGCCTTGAGCTTTATAGGGCTATAAAAAAGGAAGAAAGAGTCTCCCCCAGCAGGCACCAAGGGCCCCAGTGGGGACAGGGAGGGGCCCCACAGCATGCTCTCAGCATCCTCTGGAGTCCTCAAACTCCTTTATCCTCAGCAGCAGTCTGTGGACCAACAAGAACCCCTGAGGATCCCTGATACCCTTTCACAGGGTCCTTGAGGGTCCTCCTTTTGCAACTATCTGTGTAAGGTCAGATTTTCTTCATATACTGGACTTCAACGAAAACAACATATCCCAACAGACTGAATGCAGAAGCAGATAGGAAAACCCAGGCATCTCCCACGAAGCCTGACACTAGATTCACAAAAATGTAAAGCAATGCTCAGCTTCTCACTGTGCTGTGGAGAAATAATAGTTATTTTTCACAAAACTGTATTTTGTTAGCATGTAATACTTTATTATTTTTATTGTTTAAATAAATCAATAAATACCTACTTTAAATTTTCTGTTTTAATTTTTAATGTAGTAAATATTGATATAACCTCATAAAGAAAAGCTCTTCAGAGTCTTAAGTAACTTTGAAAAGTGTAAAGAGGTCCTGAGATCAATATTTTTGAAAAGAGCTGCTCTCCTGGGCACCTGTGTCTCCCCTATCTTCACTCCCTGTTCCTAGTCTTACTCCTCCTGGTACATGCTGGCTCTGATTCCCCAGATGGGCCTTCCTCCTTCCCAGTCTCTTCAACCCCAGCCTTCCAGGCTGTATCACCACCCCCCTACCCCAAATCCCATCCATGCCTTCCTTTCTAGTGATTTCTCCCCAGTGCAAGCACATCAGCAGGCCCTCCAGCCCCACCCGTGGTTATTTCTTTCCTCCAAGGTAGTAAAGCTGGCAGGGATAATTACAGGGTAGGAATGTTGAAGCTTGGGGGGATCAAAGGGATCTGAAGCTGGGTGGGGTCCGCCCTTACACAGCTGGGCTTTGTGTGTGCATGTGGGTGTGTGGGTGGGGGTATTGTTGATTCTACACTCAAACAGATCTACGCCGGGGCTGTTTAGGAGGGTGACTTTGAGAGACATGAAAGCACTGAGGGGGAAAGACAGAGAAAACAAAGACAGAGAGAAGCTGAGAGAGCCAGGGAGCAGCTTGAGACATGGGGAGGGAGGGGGAGGAGTAGGAGGGAAGGCGACAGACACAACTCAGGAGCAGGAGAGGAAGCTAAGTTACAGAGACAACATGCTGAGAGAGCAGAGGAGACCCTCCAGGCAAGGGCAGACTCCTTGCAGGGGCAGGCTGGGGGCCCCCGCTGCCTGCTGGGTCAGGCTGGTGAATCTGGTCATGGTTCCGCCCCCCAGATTCACTCCCTAGGTGTGTTTGTTTACTGGTTCCTCACTGTCTTGCTCAAATGCTCCAACTCTACAAATCCCGGGATCTCGGGGTGCAGATCACCTCTCCCAGATTCCTGAGCCTGTGTCTGGCCATGGGCACCTCCAGCATCTTCCTCTGCGTGCTGTTCCTCTGTGGGGCACTGGGTAAGGGTGGGCTGGGGAACCTTCAGTGGTCAGGGGGCTGGGGGTGGGGACAAGGGCATGTGGAGGAACCTGAGGGCTGGGGAGGAGAGGGGTGTGGGTGCTGGAAGAGGCCAAGAAGAGAGCTGGGGGAGTGGGGGACTTCAGGGAGACCAGCCACTGGGAAGGCCAGCCTGATGAGGTGGGAAAGGAAGAGTTTCCTTTCAAGGCATTTGAGAATAACTGTCTCCCCCTTGCTGCATCTTTGATCCGCCCCTGTCTCCCCTATCCCTTATTTCACGTGTTGCTTCTGTGCTGGGCCCTTTGGTCAATGTCAATTTCTATTTTCCTATCTGTCTCTGGTGCCATTTACTTAACTTTTTCACTGACCCCCTCAACTTCCCTGCTGCTGGGTCTGGCTTTTTGTCTCACTCTTTTTATGTTGGTCTCTGATTCTTGTGGCTTCTGTTCATGTCTGCGCATCTCTCAATCCCTGTACCCCTCTTGCCTCCATCTCTGTTTCTTTTCCTGCATCGTCTCCCTCTTTTTTTTTGAGACAGAGTCTCGTTCTGTCACCCAGGCTGGAGTGCAGTGGCATGATCTCGGCTCACTGCAACCTCAGCCACCCAGATTCAAGAGATTCTCCTGCCTCAGCCTCCCAAGTAGCTGGGACTAGAGGCATGTGCCACCATGCCCGGCTAATTTTTTGTATTTTTAGTAGAGACGGGGTTTCACTGTGTTAGCCAGGATGGTCTCAATCTTCTGACCTCATGATCAGCCCGCCTCGGCCTCCCAACGTGCTGGGATTACAGGCGTGAGCCACTGCGCCCAGCTATTTTTTCTACTTCTGTCAGCTTTCCTCCCTTATTCCACAGCTTTCCTCTCTCTGCTTCATGTGTCACCTCTCTCTGTGATCCCTCTCCGGATCTGGCCTCTGCCTGCCCCACAGGGAGGGTTTGCCTCTCCTGCTCTCCTAATCTCTGCTGCCTCAACAGGTCTCACCATGTCCCCTGCCCGGGGAAGGCTCCGCTGCTACATCTGTGGCTTCACCAAACCCTGCCACCCTGTTCCCACCGAGTGTCGGGACGATGAAGCTTGTGGCATCAGTATTGGCACTTCAGGTAGGACTCTGGTCCAATGGCCCTTCTCCAGGAGGCTCCCTACCTCCATCCATCCGGCCTTTCCTGTGGCCCCCGCCTCAGCATGCCTCTTTCATCCCACAGACCAGAGTGAGATCACTGAGTGAAAAAGCTGCCTCTCAAGGGCCCAGTGCCCTCTGCCAGGCTATGCCACCTACTGGCTGCACTCCTACACTCTGTGGCACCACTGCTGCGAGCAGGACCTGTGCAACATAGCCGCTTCCCCACAGCAGCTCACCAGCCTCCTCGCCTCCCTGCCCCTCTTTGTGGCCAGCTTCGCTGGGAGAGGACACCTCCTCCACTAGCTTCCGTGGATCTGCAGCCCCCAACCCAGGATACCCCCCGCCATCACTGCGGCCCTGGAAACACCTGCACAGACACTTTGAGACATGCCCGAGAACCTAATTTTGTACAGAGACCCCAGATCTCTCAGCAGACCCCTCACAGACCCCTCACAAGGCCTGGGGAGGCACCTGCCCAGAGTCCAACCTCATAAAGAACACCTATTCTGCGTCTTTTGTCTTTTCTAGATGCCCATTGCTGATGCCCCGTGTCAGCCCAGGTCACTGGCAAGGCAGGCATTTTGATGACACTGTGGATCTCAGGCAAGGGGATCAAAGGAGCATCAGGTATGGTAAGGAGGAGAGTCTTGCTAGGAAAGACTAATGTGGTAGGTCGGGAACTCAGGATGGAGGGCTTGGGGGACTATGAAGAGTACCTTTAATAAAAGGTCTATCTAGGAGTCCAGTAATACTGCAGATACTGCAGTGTGTGTGTGTGTGTGTGTGTGTGTGTGTGTGTGTGTGTGTCTGTGTGTGTGTGCTCTAAGAGCAAACTGTAGCTGCTTGGTGGGTTGGGCTGGAGCTGGAACCTGGACCACGGCACTCCCCTCATTCTCCATCTGTGTCATTTTCGTCCTTTTTCTTGCCAATGGCTTAGTTTAAGCCCCTGCAGCCTGAAGCCTTTAGGTGAGACTTCTGAGAAAGCTTTTTTCCAGTAAGGCCCAAGCTTGAGCAGAGACACAAAAGGGCACCCAGTGGAGCTGCTTGTGAGGGTGTGGCTGGAGCTCAGCTCATTTCTGCCTGAGACTAGGGAATGGCCAAGTTGGGAGCATCAATATCCTCCCTCGCTTCACCAGCCCAGACTCGCCCATGGTTCACAGACATCCCAGCATGGCCCCGGCCCAATAAATAACATACCCCCACTGGGCCTGCCAGCCTGAGTAGACACTCCCTCTGCCCCCGAGAAATAGGGTGTGACCTCAGGGCAGCAGGAAGGAAGTGCCAGAGTGGCGATAGCTGCTCACATGCTCTGAATGCCCCGGTAAGGCGCCACAGGGAAGAGTGTGTGCCTAGGATAAGGAAGGATAAGGAGGGGGCCCCGGGTGGGAGCTGAGCACAGGCATCTCTATCCTGACTCAGTTCCCTCCCCTTGCATGTGAGGAAGTCTGGGGTTGATTAAATATGCCTGTTCCCTCTCTTCTTTGTGAGGATGAGACATGGGGTAGTGGGGGTCTGGCTTAATTTAGAGATGGGTTGAGGCTTTCCATTTTCTCTGTCCCTCCATCCTCCCACTTTGTGCTTCTATTTTTCTCCCTCTGTCCATCTCTTTCCACTTTCTCTGACTTGAGTCTCTTCCCTTCTCTCTCTTCCCCCGTTTTCCCCATTTGTCCTTCAGCTCCACTGCAATGGATTCCTCACCATTGCTCAAGTCTCCAGATTCCTGTCTCCTCCCTGTGCACACCCATCCTCCTTGCCCCCACCAGCAACCTCAGGCTCCCCTCAACCCCACAGTACTATGGGCTCAGGGCCATCCCTCCACTGCTGCTACAAGACAGGAGACCAAACCTTTTTGTAGGTTACATCACAGAATAATGCTCCTCCTTTCCTTCAGTCCCCCACCCCTCCCCATACACAGCTTGGTGGCTGCTGGAGGCCAGCTGGATGGTGAAGTCGAACTCTCAGTCCCGCCCCCCTTGCTAAGGTTGTCGAGGAATCTTCCAGGTGCCAGATGGCCAGCGAGACAGCAGGTCACACTTCCCAGCAGATGTCACCAAAATCACCTGGGCTTGTGGGCAGGTGGGCTGTGGGGTTTTCCAGAGAGACAGATTAAGGATACCTCTACTTTTCACATCCTCAGGAACGAGGGCCCATCCCCAACCCAACCCGTGTTTCCTCTCCATCCCCAGTCCCCTCCAGGATTTAAGCCTCTGTTCCCTAGCTGTTCCTCACCCAAGACGGGCCAAATGGATGTTCTCATAGACCTGGATTTCGGGTTTGAACTGAGGAATCGAGGCATCTGGGGAGAAGGAGCCATCAGGGATACAGAAGAGAAGTCAGCAGACAACTTAGAGCCGTGTTCCTCGCCCCCTCCCCTAGAGGAGGTGGGGTACAGAGGCGGGGTGTGAGCCTAGCCCTTTGCCTCCCACCCATGTGCCCTCTTCTTTCCCCGGGGAGGGAGGGACTCACCTCTGCCTGGAGCCCCACGGACCCTCTGCCTCCAGAGCACGATGCTGAGGGCCAGGATGACAACTCCCTGGCCCATTGTGAGCAGCAGCATCAGAATCCAAGGCATGTCCCAGCCCGTGGAAGGGGCACAGAGGGCAGGAGAAGCATCGATGGAGGCTGTAGTAAGGGCCAGACCAGAGGGATGGGAGGGAGGTAGTGAGGGGCCCTGTCCCTGTGCCCCAAAGAGAGGCTTCCCCTCCACAGTCTGGTGGGCTCTTCCAACAGAAGACTTTGTAAGCTTCCCTGCCCACAATATCCTCCACCCTACTCTGCCCCTTTCCAGGCCTCTCACCCTGACCCATAGAGAATGGCGGCCAGGCACAGTGGCTCATGCCTGTAATTCCAGCACATTAGGAGGCCAAGGCGAGCAGACCACTTGAGGTCAGGAGTTCAAGACCAGCCTGGTCAACATGATGAAACCTCATCTCTACTGAAAGTATAAAAATTGAGGCCAGGCGCAGTGGTTCACACCTGTAATCCCAGCACTTTGGGAGGCCGAGGTGGGTGGATCACCTGAGGTCAGGAGGTCGAGACCAGCCTGACCAACATGGTGAAACCCCATCTCTACTAAAAACACAAAAAAGAGGCCGGGCGCTGTGGCTCACACCTGTAATCCCAGCACTTTGGGAGACCAAGGCGGGCAGATCACGAGGTCAGGAGATTGAGACTATCCTGGCCAACATGGTGAAACCCCGGCTCCACTAAAAATACAAAAATTAGCTGGACGTGGTGGCATATGCCTGTAATCCTAGCTACTCGAGAGGCTGAGGCAGGAGAATCACTTGAACCAGGGAGTCAGAGGTTGCAGTGAGCCGGGATTGCGCCACTGCACTCCAGCCTGGCGACAGAGAGAGACTCTGTCTCAAAAAAAAAACAAAAAAAAACACACACACACACACAAAAGTTAGCCAGGCGTGGTGGCAGGCACCTGTAGTCCAGCTACTCAGGAGGCTGAGATGGGAGAATAGCTTGAACCCAAGAGGCAGAGGTTGCAGTGAGCCAAGATCGTGCCACTGCATTCCAGCCTGGCCAACAGAACAAGTCTCCATCCCAAAAAAAAAAAAAAAAAAAAAAAAAAGGCCAGGCGTGGTGGCTCACACCTATAATCCTAACACTTTGGGAGACTGAGGCAGGCAGATCATGAGGTCAAGAGATCAAGGCCATCCTGGCCAACATGGTGAAACCCCGTCTCTACTAAAAATACAATTTTTTTTTTGAGATAGAGCTTCGCTCTTGTTGCCCAGGCTGGAGTGCAATGGCGTGATCTTGGCTCACTGCACCCTCCACCTCCCAGGTTCAAGTGATTCTCCTGCCTCAGCCTCCCGAGTAGCTGGGGTTAGAGGCATGTGCCACCATACCCGGCTAATTTTGTATTTTTAGTAGAGACAGAATTTCTCCATGTTAGTCAGGCTGGTCTTGAACTCCCAACCTCAAGTGATCCGCCTGCTTCGGCCTCCCAAAGTGCTGGGATTACAGGATTGAGCTACCATGCCTGGCCTAATAATAATAAAATAAAATAAAATAAAATAAAAAGTAGAGAATGGCAATGCCCCCTGCTCACGCATGGGCAACCAACTACAGAGCAGACCACCAGCCATAACCACACTTTCCCCTCACACCCTTTATAGTAATTCACCCTTTCTTTCAAGAAAAAATAGCCAGATGTGATGGCTCATGCCTGTAACCCCAGCACTTTGGGAGACCAAGATAGGAGGATCATTTGAGGCCAGTAGTTTGAGACCAGACTGGGCAACATAGCAAGATCCTGTCTCTACAAAAAATTTAAAGGTGCGGTGGCTCATGCCTATAATCCCAGCACTTTGGGAGACTGAGGCAGGCAGATCACTAGAAGTCAGGAGGTTGATACCAGCCTGGCCAAAATGGTGAAATCTCGTCTCTACTAAAAGTACAAAAAATTATCCAGGCATGGTGGCGGGCGCCTGTAATTCCAGCTACTTGGGAGGCTGAAGTGAAAGAACATCCCTTTCCGTCTCCTTCCTCAGTTTACCTGCCAGGCTAAAGCTGACCCCTTTGTTGTGAGTCATGAGGCAGCGGATGATTCTTGGTCTTCGGCTCCTGGGCTCAGAAAGCCCCTCCCCAGGACACACCAAGAGCAGGGCAGCCTCACTGCCCCAGAAGGACTGAACACGGCCCCTCACGGGACCCTTCCCTTCCTGCCAGGTCACAGAGTCCATGCGTCTGCTGGGGACCACAGAGCACAGGAGGACATTGCAGGGGGATCCATCTGCAGCCCTTGCAGATAACTGGGATCCTGTAGGGGAGAGAGGGATTCCTCAGTTCTTCACCTGGACTTCCTGGGCCACAGTAGCCCCTGGTCTGCATGCCCCCACTCACCTTTGAGCACCAAGACGTCGTACACCCTCCAGTTCTGGTAGTTGTGGTGCTGACCTAGCACAGCGCACCAGTACCGCCCGGCATCTTCCTCTTTGGATCCCTCCAACCACAAAGAATAGTTCCCCAGCAGTCTGAGCCTGGATTCCCTTCCTGGTTTTCCAGGGTCTGGGGCTGGCCTGCCCACTTGGACTTGGGCTACCAGGGTGGTGAAGGAGCCTGCTGCAGGGCTGCAGAACCATGACAGGTGTTCGTCCCCATGTAGAGTAGGTGGTGAGGGACATGGCAGCTCTACTGCCTCCCCCAAGGCCACATAGATGGCCTGCATGTTGTCTGTGGGAAGAGGGTTGTATGAGGCCAGAGACCTCCATCAGATCAATAACCCCCCATTTGATCTTCAACCCTGGCTTCCTTCCCTTCTGGGGTCCCCCAGCACAGGCCTGGCTGGTGACCACATTTCTCAAGTGACAGCTACAAAAATAAGACAGGTGGAGAGAAGAGGGTAAGGGCTTTCCTCCTCTCTCCCCCAGCCAGTGAGGGGGTCTGAGGGCAAGAGGGAAAAGGCTGAAAGTTGGCAAATGCCCACATCTCTTCTACTCATTTCTACTTTTCTGGAAGCATTTACTCATTCTTCTTATTTTATAAAGGAAACTGCATAACCTGGACCCTCGTTGCCTCTGGGTCTTCCCTAGTGTCAGAGGCAGGAGGAGGTTGGTTGGGGTAATTCTATCTTCTTGAGTCAGATGCCTTCGCCAGGCTCCTAGGAGAAAGAGCAGTAGTCCCTCCCCAACCTTGCAAATAGCTAAGGAATCCCGTACCTCTTGCCCCTTACCTGCAGCCTGGGGAGTTCCACATAGGAACAGGAGGAGGAATAAGACTGCCATGGGGAGAGCCTGCCAAGTTCTCTTGCTCCAAGACCTGGTGTCCCCAGGGAGGAAGCAGAGTCCAGATAAAGGCCCACACTCGCTGGTCTGGAGTGACAAGGGGCTCTGGAGGGGATGGGAATGCTGGGGCGATAAAGCCCAGCAGCATGTCTACTAGGGATAAAGTGACCACCACTTTTCTATCCTGGAGAGAAAAGGACCCAGCCCAGGCCACTCTGAAGATGACCTTTTTGCTCTTCTGATTCCACATCAGCTAAGGGGCTCAAATAAAGACTTTCCATGCAAAAAACCATGCAGAGAAGTGGTCCTGCCTGTCTAGCTCTTGTCAGTCTGGAAGTACATTCTGAGGTCTCTTTCACTCCTAAGAAAGGTCAGCCATGAGTTGGGTGGATCACTTGAGGTCAGGAGTTCGAGACCAGCGTGGCCAACATGGCGAAACCCTGTCTCTACAAAAAATACAAAAATTAGCCAGGCGTGGTGACATGTGCCTGTAATCCCAGCTACTTAGGAAGCTGAGAGGCACCAGAATCGCTTGAACCCGGGAGGTGGAGGTTGCAGTGAGCCGAGATCGTGCTACTGCACTCCAGCCTGGGAGACAGAGCGAGACTTCATCTCAAAAAAAAAAAAAAAAAAAAAAAAAAAGAAAAAGAAAAGAAAAGAAAAGAAATGTCAGCTATGAGTGAAGAAACTGAGTTTGAGTTTTTATGTTGGTCCTCCACAGAACCCAGCACAAGACTGTGTATCGAGTCAGTGTCCCGTAAATGATTTGGAATGACTTTCCCTGTGGTTGTCTGGCATACCCCGGACCTCTCCTGAAACCCTAATAAGTGTATTAAATTATTACTCAGGGACAAGGCTAACGGGCTGATTCATCCTTCTGAACGGCAAAAACTCCTAAGGCAGATCTTCATGCAGTTATTACAGTTTTAATGTGTAATTTATTTATTTTTAAAATTATTTTGATGAAATATTCCATACATACCAAAAACTATATGAAGTACAACTATATAATGGATAAATGCTTAACAGAGTAGAAGACTGGACAGCAATGAGAATGAACAAACCTAGTGATTTGCAACAAAGTTGAATCTCACAATATAATGAGAGTAAAAGAAGCCTGGCCAGGCATGGTGGCTCATGTCTACAATCCTAACACTTTTGGAGGCCAAGGTGGGAGGGTTGATTGAAGCCAGAAGTTTGAGGTTGGGCAACAGAGCAAGACCCCAACTCTGAAAATAAAGGCCAGACGCCGTGGCTCACGCCTGTAATCCCAGCACTTTGGGAGGCTGAGGCAGGCGGATCACGAGGTCAAGAGATCGAGACTATCCTGGCCAACATGGTGAAACCCTGTCTCTACTAAAAATACAAAAATTAGCTGAGTGTGGTGGTGGATGCCTGTAGTCCCAGCTACTCAGGAGGCTGAGGCAGGAGAATCGCTTGAACTCAGGAGGCAGAGGCTGCGGTGAGCAGAGATCATGCCACTATACTCCAGCCTGGTGACAGAGCGAGACTCCGTCTCAAAAAAATAAATAAATAATAAATAAATAAATAAATAAATAAATAGAATATTCCAGGCCGGACTCGGTTGCTCATGCCTGTAATCCCACCACTTTGGGAGGATGAGACAGGCGGATCACCTGAGGTCAGGAGTTCAAGACCAGCCTGACCAACATGGAGAAACCCCATCTCTACTAAAAATAAAAAAATTAGCAGGGCATGGTGGTACATGCCTGTAATCTCAGCTACTTGGGAGGCTGAGGCAGGAGAATCGCTTGAACCCCAGAGGCAGAGGTTGTGGTGAGCCGAGATCGGGCCATTGCACTCCAGCCTGGGCAATAAGAGCGAAACTCGGTCTCGAAAAAAAAAAAAGAAAAAGAAATAGAATATTCCAGGCCAGGCACAGTGGCTCATGCCTGTAATCCCAGCACTCTGTGAGGCCAAAGCAGGAGGTTCACTTGAGCCCAGGAGTTCGAGACCAGCCTGGGCAACATGGTGAGACCTTGTAAAATTAGCCGAGTATGGTGGTGTGGGCCTATAGTCCCAGCTACTCAGGAGGTTGAGGCAGAAAGATGGTTGAGCCCAGCAGGTGGAGGATCAGGGCAGTGAGCCGTGATTGTGCCACTGTGCTCCAGCCTGGGTGAAAGAGCTAGACCCTGTCTCAAAAAAAAAAAAAAAAAAAAACAGAAAAAAAGAATATTCCGTTTCAGTCAGAGATCCTCTATGCTGTGTAACCACAATTCTGAATTTTCTCTTTCTTCTCCACTTGCTTTATCATTAAATTTTATGTGTTTTTGAATCTAATATACTAGTATCACGTATACATTCTTCTGTGGCTTTCTATTTTCACTCAGCATCATGGTTTTAAGATCCAGTTCATGCATAACAGTAATGATTCATTTATTTTCTTTTTACAAATATTCCGCATATCTTACTGTGCTGAATTTTCGTATCCAGGACCATGGTGTAGCTTTCCATTTATTGAAAAGCTTTTCGTTTACCTCTTTCTTTTTTTATTTTTTCAATTATTATTGTTATTATTTTGAGGCAGGGTCTGGCTCTGTCACCCAGGCTGGAGTGCATGGAGCGATCTCAAACTCCCGGGCTCAAGCGACCCTCCCACCTTGGCCTCCCAAGTAGCTGGGACTACAGGTGGGCACCACCACACCCTGCTAGGTCTTTTTTTTTTCCCCCTTGGTATTTTGTGTAGAGATGGGGTCTCACTATGTTGCCTGGGCTGGCTTGGAACTCCAGGGCGCAAGCAATCCTCTCTCAGCCACCCCAAGTGTTGGAATTACAGGCATGAGCCATGGCCTGGAACTCCTGGACGCAAGCAATCATCCCTCGGCCACCCAAAGTGTTGGAATTACAGGCGTGAGCCACCGCGCTGGGCCAGTTTACCTTTATTTATTTATTTAGAGACAGAGTCTTGCTCTGTCACCAAGGCTGAAGTGCAGTGGGAAGATCTCGGCTCACTGCAACCTCTGCCTCCCGCGTTCAAGCGATTCTCGCGTCTCGGCCTCCCGAGTAGCTGGGATTACAGGCGCGCACCACCCATGCCAGGCTAATTTTTGTATTTTTAGTAGAGATGGGGTTTCACCATGTTGGCCAGGCTGGTCTCGAACTCCTGGCCTCAAGTGATCCCCCCGCCTCGGCCTCCCAAAGTGCTAGGACTACAGGCGTGAGCCACTGCGCCGGGCCGGGCCAGTTTGCCTTTTCAATAACTTTTTATAGTTTTCTTCATAAAACCTTGCATTTCTTGTACTAGATACATTCCTAGACACCTTATGTTTTCGGTTACTCTTATCAAGTACTCCTAATCTCACCCCTCGTTTCCGCTGTCGCTCTAGAGTCTGCCAATAATGAGACAGAAAAAAATTATTGAACCATGCCCGGTAATTTTCTGATTCTCCGCGTTCTAGTGGTCTTCCACTAGTTTCGGACCACTGCTGTACCCGTAGCTCCAACTGCGCGAAACTCTTCTCAGGAAGCACTGAAAATGTCGCAACTCGCCCGGAGGCGGAGCCGGTACGGGCTGACGTCAAGGGCACACAACACCTCAGAGGCAGGGAGGGCGGGGCCGGCAGGGGGACCTGCTGCTGGAAGAGCAGCGGCCCGAGCCGGGGCCATGGCGAAGCTGCTGAGCTGCGTCCTAGGCCCCCGGCTCTACAAAATCTACCGGGAGAGGGACTCTGAAAGGGCCCCGGCCAGCGTCCCTGAGACGCCAACGGCAGTCACTGCCCCCCATTCCAGCTCCTGGGTGAGTCGAGTTCCTCCCCACCGAAGAACGTGGTACAGTCCAAACCCTTTACGGCCTTTTGCTCCCCAGAAGTGCCCATAATGGGAAATAAGGGGAGCCTGCTTGTCAAGCCAGTTATCCGCAAAATCTGCGCTCTGTGTGCTTCCTGAGTTAAAGTCACGCCTACGGACTGGCCGCCTCCTTTCTTTTTCGCTCTTTACCGCTTTCTCATTCCGACTGCCACTCTTTGTTCTTTCCTCTCCGCGTCCCCCCGACCCTGTGTGTCGTGGTTCGTGCCGGTCCCAGTTGAGTCTTGAGTCCCGGGAAGAGACCCTGCGCGGACTGGGGAGCCGTTGAATTTTGCTGTCAGACTCCCAGTTTCCTCTTCTTCAGTGCCTCTTCATGCCTCCCCCGGCTCTGTTTTTATCTTCCCTTTACCCTCGCCTTGAATTTCAGAATGACTTTTACAGATCCTGTATCCGTCGGTCCTCCCCTCAACCCCCGCCCAACCTAGCCTGGAGACCCGAGTCATTGTATTCTGGAGAGCTGGCGGGTGGTGGTAGGCTGTTCTAAATATTCTCTTCCTTTTTATCAGTTGTCTCATTGTGTTACTGTCTCCTACAAACTGCCCGCTCCTACCCACATTCTCTTCTTAGTCAACTACTCTTATTTCTGATGCTTTTCTTTCCTTCTTAGATTGTCTAGGTGTCTTTTCTTTCTTCTCAAACTAACCCTTCTCCCCACATGCACGCGCCTGCAATCCATTTGAAACTAGGCTGTGGAAAAGGAGCAAAAATCGTCCAATGCTGCTTTCACTTTTGCTTCCAAATCCAGCTCCCTGTGTTTGTTCCCATGGTCAGGGGTGGGAAATTAGGTTCAGAGTGAGGGTGAGGAAGAGGAGTTTCTGTGGGGGCCAGGGATGTTTCAAGAGAGATAGTCAACGAGACTAGAACCAGAGGACACACAGCAGGGCTTCTGAAAGGGAAGGGAAAGGACCTGCCAGTGGGCAGGGTCCTTAAGGAGGCCATCTGTTTTGGCAGGATACGTACTATCAGCCCCGTGCCCTGGAGAAACATGCTGACAGCATCCTGGCACTGGTATGTCTACCCTGGCATCTGGGACTCTGCATCTTTCAGACCCACCTGTCCTCTTGAACTTAGCCCTCCCTAACTTGGGAGCAACAGTGCCCTGGGGTTGGGGGATGCCCTGGGCTCTGCAGCAGACCTCTCCAACACAGACACACAGGCACACTCTAAATGTGCATACTTGGCACTCCCCTTTGGTATGTAGCACTGCTTTCTCTGGGGGCAACCTGAGCCGTAAGGAAAACATGTTTACTCTTGGGACCATCTGCAGGTGCTAAGTCCTGCAGTTCCCCAGTGACCTGTCCTCCCTGGCAACTAACCTCTTTGGCTGCAGGGACAGCTGTTCTTTCTGGCACAGTTCCTGTGATGACGTTTGCGCATCTCTTGGGGACCAGGCCAGGGGCTGTCCTGAGCAGGGCCAATTGAAAAGGCTTGATTAACTTGAGTAGACAGAGAGACTGCCTTTAAATGTGATGGAATTATGTCTGGAGATGGAAGACATAATTCTTCCATAATTCCAGAGGAAGAAAATAGAGCCTGTACCAAATTTTCCCAGCCTCCATTACATTGACACACTACTTTTCAACAAATACTGAGCACCTACTGTATTCATGGTGTCATACACCAAATATGATATGATATCCCTCAGGTTGTCCATCTTGCTCAGAGTGTATAGTATATGCCTGGAATGGCAGGTGTGTGTGTGTGTGTGTATTGATTGCCTGTCCCTGTCTCTCTGCTGCAGGCTTCAGTATTCTGGTCCATCTCTTATTACTCCTCTCCCTTCGCCTTCTTCTACTTGTACAGGAAAGGTCAGTGTGGTTTCAAAGGTGGTGGGGTAGCAAATGGGCAGGTTGTTGGCAGATGAGCCAGCTCCCTAAAGAGGAGAGGGGACCTGTGAAGATGGCTTGGCTTCCCTCTTCCATCAGGCATCTTCTTCCTCTTAGGGTATGGCTGTTCCAAACAGGGAGTGTGGGGTGGAGGTTGGGGCTGAACTGGGAAGAGGAGCTGAGGGACATTGCGGAGAGGGTCTCACATTGTCCCTCTCCCTTCCCAGGTTACTTGAGTTTGTCCAAAGTGGTGCCGTTTTCTCACTATGCTGGGACATTGCTGCTACTTCTGGCAGGTGTGGCCTGCCTCCGAGGTAGGTGGAGAGGAAACCTGGTTTGAATCTTATCTGTCACTGTCACTGGTTAAAAATTAAGTACCTTGTGCAAATACATTTTAGTGATGGGCCTCCGAGAGGGAATCATTGAGAATGGTTTAAGGCATGATCTTTTCCTTAAAAGACTTGGGTTATAAATATGAAAAAATAACTGAAAAGTAACAAAAAGGTTTGCTTTTTTTTTTTTAAGAGATAGGGTCTCACCATGTTGTCCAGGCTGGTCTCAAACTCCTGAACTCAAAGTGATCCTCCCACCTCAGCCTCCCGAAGTACTGGGATTATAGATGTGAGCCACTATGCCTGGCTGCTTTTATCTAGAAAAGATGCATATACCCTACAACAATTCTATATATGTATACATACTAGGAAAACTCCTGCACATGTATAAACAATATAGATGTACAAGAATACAGCATACAACATTGTTTGTAATAATCCTAAGCTGGAAACAACTCCAGTGGCTACAAATAGTAGGATGGATAAAATATGTTCTGTGTGGCCGGGTGTGGTGGCTCATGCCTGTAATCCCAGCACTTTGGGAGGCAGAGGCCAGTGGATCACGAGGTCAGGAATTTGAGACCAGCCTGACCAACATGGTAAAACCCCGTCTCTACCAAAAATACAAAAATTAGCTGGGCATGGTGGCACGTGCCTGTAATCCCAGCTACTTAGGAGGCTGAGGCAGGAGAATAGCTTGAACCTGGGAGGCAAAGGTTGCAGTGAGACGAGATTGCGCTACTGCACTCCATCCTGGGCAACAGAGCAAGACTCCGTCTCAAAAAAAAAAAAAAGTTCCATGCAATAGCCATGCAAGAGAACACTATATAGCAATGCAAATGAACAAACTGTAGCTACGCTCAACAACGCAGATGAAGCCAGGTGCAGTGGCTCATGCCTGTAATCCTAGCAGTTTGGTAGGCTGAAGCAGGCAGATCACCAGAGGTCAGGAGTTCAAGACCAGTCTGTCCAACATGGTGAAACCCCGTCTCTACTAAACATACAAAAAAAAATTAGCCAGGTATGGTGGTGAGCACCTGTAATCCCAGCTATTCGGGAGGCTGAGGCAGTAGAATTGCTTGAATCCAAGAGGCAGAGGTTGCAGTGAGCCAAGATTGCGCTACTGTACTGCATCCTGGGCAACAGAGCAAGGCTCCATCTCAGAAAAAATAAAATACAAAAAATTAACTGGGCATGGTGGCACATGCCTATAGTCTTAACTGCTTGGGAGGCTAAGGCATGAGAACTGCTTGAACCTGGGAGGCAGAGGTTGCAGTGAGCCAAGATAGCACCACTGCACTCCAGTCTGGGTGACAGAGCGAGACTCTGTCTCCAGATAAACAAAAGCAATGCAGATGAATTTCTCAAATGTTGTGTTAAATAGAAGAAGCTAACCACAAAATAATGTATGCAGTATGTTTTCATTTATATAAAATTCAAAAGGGATGTGCATGTTTGAGGTAGAACACCGAAGACAACAAGGGCATGGTTTTCTTTTTTTTTTTTTTTTTTTTTGAGACGGAGTCTCGCTCTGTCCCCCAGGCTGGAGTGCAGTGGCGCGATCTCGGCTCACTGCAAGCTCCGCCTCCCGGGTTCACGCCATTCTCCTGCTTCAGCCTCCCGAGTAGCTGGGACTACAGGCGCCCACCACCACACCCGGCTAGGTTTTTTTGTATTTTTTAGTAGAGATGGGGTTTCACCGTGTTAGCCAGGATGGTCTCAATCTCCTGACCTCGTGATCCACCCGCCTCGGCCTCCCAAAGTGCTGAGATTACAGGCTTGAGCCACCGCGCCCAGCAAGGGCATGGTTTTCTCAAAAGTTAGGAGAGTGATTACCTGGGGTGGGGGAGAACAGAGTGGGGGAGAGCCCTGCTGAGAGGTGGCTGTGTTCTCTTTGTTGACCTAGGTGATAGTCACATGAATGTTTGCTTTGTATTTTTTAAACTGAATATATGTTTTATGTACATATGTTGTATCTCGCAATTTAAAAAAATAAAGAGGACAGATCACCTACCCCTAGTGGGTACATAAGATGACAACCAGGTGATGGGCGATGCTTCAACATGGGGGTGGTGGGGTCAGGGCTGGATGGTCGCAGTTGGGTCCAGGACCTTCTGCCTGAGGTGTTCTGCCCCCTGATCTCTGCAGGGCTGGGCTCTCTCCTCAGAGAGGCCTTCCCTGACCACCCTGTCTAAAAGTAGCTCCCACTGCTCAGTTTTGTCTTAGTTTTTTATTTTATTTATTTTTAATTTAGAAAAAATACAGAAAAAATTAGCTGTGCATGGTGGCGGGCGCTTGTAATCCCAGCTATTTGGGAGGCTGTGGCAGGAGAATCACTTGAACCCGGGAGGCGGAGGTTGCAGTGAGCCGAGAGCACATCATTGCACTCCCGCCTGGGCAACAAGAGCAAAACTCTGTCTCAAAAAAAAGAAAAAAGAAAAAATACAGAAAAGTCCAGAGAACAAAATATAAAAGCCTTTTTAAATTTTTTGATGTATAGTTTTGTGATTTTTTTTTTATATATAGTTTTGTGATATTTGCTTTAAATGCTTTCTGTCAACAAAATACTAAAGCACCACAGTTAGGGTTGGAGTTCCCATTGGAATCCTTTCAGTCCCATCTTCCTCTTTCCTCAGAAGTAATAATTGTCATTTGGTGTGGGTTTTTTTTTTTTCTGGCACATACTTTTATGAAACATATACCTCAGTTCCTCAAGTCTAAGCTGCCATCAATTGTAAAATGAATTCTAATTTCAGAGTTTTCAAGGGTTAAAAAATATACATTTTAGAATCTATGAAATATGGTATCTATAAGCAGTATGTATTATTTTGCACATTTTACATTTTTGGCATAAATGTTGTACAAATCATTCTGCAGCACACATCATTCTCTCATCATATCGTTTTGGGGGAATACCATTGATGACACATAAAGTTCTGGTTCATTCTTGTTGTATTTTCTCTGTAGCACTTATCCCTCTCTGAAATGTTGTTTATTGTCTTCTCCTGGCTGTACCTAACCCCAACCAGAATGCCAGCTCTCTGAGAGCCAGGAGCTGTGTATCTCATTTCCTGCTGAGTCTCCCGTGTGTAGTACGGTGCCTGTCTGACACACGACACCTGCCAAGTCAGTGAGGAGAGAAGTTAGGGTTTGAGGTGGCTCAGCAGTGAAAGGAGAGTGGATGCAATCACTGACTGTGTAAGTGAAAAGAGAGAGGAGAGAGAGTCAGCACTGAGAGTTGCTTCTGCTTCAGAAAGGAAAGCAGAAAGGAGGCAGGAGAGGAACTGTTCAGGAACTGGAAGGAGTCAAGGATGGGCCCAGGAAGCAGAGGCAGGAAGAATCTTGAGGGACAGGGAGAATGCTGAGTAGTACAGTTGAAGAGAATGAGGATAGAAGAGTCAGGAATTCAGTGAGGAAGTAATTATGGGCAGGAGTCGGAGACTCTGAAGCCAGATGGCAAGGGGCTAGAATATACAGAAAAGAGGCAGAAAGCAAACATTGGAGAAGAATGGCAGTGAAAAATAGAGAAATTTGATATTCGCAAGGGAGAATAGTATTATATGATAGTGTTTAATAGTGTCATTTAATAGGTTATATGACAGTGTTTAAAGACTGAGGAAGAGGAACATTCTGGAAGATGGTAGGTTAAGGATTGTCTATAAAGACACAAACTGCAGAAGCTAGGGAGAAGAAGCGTCCTGTAGCCAGTTGCTGGATTTGGAGGAAGGGGGTTGGCTCACATCTATTTCTCCGCATCCTATGCCCTCAGTTCCTTTTTCTTTCACTTTTTCTTACAGGGCCTTCTTCTAGCCCATCTCCAATTCTTTTCCTAAAACCTAGGCTTTCTGCTTCCCAGTTTTCCTAGCACTGTTTCCTGTCCTTTTTCTACCAGGCATTGGCCGCTGGACCAACCCCCAGTACCGGCAGTTCATCACCATCTTGGAAGCAACACATCGGAACCAGTCTTCAGAAAACAAGGTGAGAGGCCCTAGGAAAAGTGCCACACAGGCACCCAATAGCAGCTTTCTCAGTTGTCCCTCAGAGCACCAGACACTGGCTTCTGCAGGAAGAGGAGGTGTGTTTTACCACCCACCACACTGGGTGTTTGCTTGCACATTGCTGTATCCCTTCTCACCTCCATTAGTGAACTGTCCACCTGAGGAATTTTTCCTCCCTACCACTTCTAATGGAATATTCTGCTAGAACAATCTTCCCCCTCCCTCACCTGTAAGAACTGGCTAAACTAGAAACATTCCACAATGTTTCTTTTTTCTTTTTCTTTTTTTTTTTTTGAGATGGAGTTTCGCTCTTGTTGCCCAGGCTGGAGTGCAATGGCACGATCTCGGCTCACTGCACTCTCCACCTCCCAGGTTCAAGTGATTCTCCTGTCTCAGCTTCCTGAGTAGCTAGGATTACAGGCACGCACCACCCACACCCTCTAATTTTTGTATTTTTTGTAGAGACGGGGTTTCACCATGTTGGCTAGGCTGGTCTCCAACTCATGACCTCAGGCGATCTGCCTGCCCCAGCCTCCCAAAGTGCTGGGATTACAGGCGTGAGCCACCACTCCTGGCCTCTTTTTTTTTTTTTCTTCTTTGAGACAGAGTCTCACTCTTACTCAGGCTGGAGTATAGTGGTACAATCTCAGTTTACTACAACCTCCAACTCCCGGGTTCAAACAATGCTCATGCCTCAGCCTCCTGAGTAGCTGGAATTACAGGTGCACACCACCACGCCCAGTTAATTTTTTTTTTTTTTTTTTGAGACGGAGTCTCACTCTGTCGCCCAGGCTGGAGTGCAGTGGCGCCATCTCAGCTTACTGCAAGCTCGGCCTCCCGGGTTCATGCCATTGTCCTGCCTCAGCCCCCTGAGTAGCTGGGACTACAGGCGCCTGCCACCACGCCCGGCTAATTTTTTTATTTTTAGTAGAGACGGGGTTTCACCATGTTAGCCAGGATGGTCTTGATCTCCTGACCTTGTGATCCGCCTGCCTCGGCCTCCCAAAGTGCTGGGATTACAGGCGTGAGCCACCGTGCCTGGCCAATTTTTGTATTTTTAGCAGAGACAGGGTTTCATCATGTTGGCCAGGCTAGTCTTGAACTCCTGACTGCAGACGATCTGCCTGCCTTGGCCTTCCAAAGTGCTGGGATTATAGGTGTGAGCCACTGTGCCTGGCCCACAGTGTTTCTTTTTTTTTCTTTTGAGATGGAGTTTCGCTCTTGTTGCCCAGGCTGGCGTGCAATGGCATGATTCCAGCTCACTGCAACCTCCGCCTCCTGGGTTCAAGCGATTCTCCTGCCTCAGCCTCCCAAGTAGCTGGGATTACAGGCATGCGCCACCACGCCCAGCTAATATTGTATTTTTAGTAGAGATGGGGTTTAGCTGTGTTGGTCAGGCTGGTCTCAAACTCCTGACCTCAGGTGATCCACCTGCCTTGGCCTCCCAAAGTGCTGGGATTACAGGTGTGAGCCACTGCACCCAGCCCACAATGTTTCTTAGAAGGTAGTTTTCTCTGTATCACAGCAGCTCAGTTCTATAAATGTTTAATTTTGTTGTATGCATTGAATACCATGCTATCCTTGTTTGTGGATGGGACAAGGTGGACAGGTGTGTCCACTCCTATGCCTGGGAGTACAGCATGGTGCCAGGAGGGAGAAAAGCTAGGGCTCAGTGTCTTGGGAATTATGCCAAGCCGGCTGGTGCTGGACTGTGATTATCTTTGAGGATGGGCTTTGGGGCCCCATAGAGCTCTTTTCTGTTATGGGAGGTTTCTAGGATCAAACAGCTATGACCACCATCATCACATTCCTGGCTACTCCACACTATGGAGCTGCGTAATGATGCCCTGTACTATGCTACTGGCTGAAGCATTTGGCACACACCCTTTCTGATCCTCACAACAGCTGAGTGAGGTGGCATTATTACCTTTATTTGTAAATGTGAGAAAACAGAGGCAAAAAGAGGTTAAGTGACCCATTCGGAGTCATAGAGCAAGAAAGTGGCTAAGTCCAGATTTGAGAGCAGGTCTGAGCAAAGCCTGCCTGAAATTTGCTTTTAGTCATCTTGTTTTGTTTTGCCATTTACCTTTTTGTATAATTTTTCTATTGCTCTCTGTTAGTCAAATTATTTTTGAAATGTCAAAAAATTTCTGTGCAGAAAATAAAAACCCTCAAAATAGAGTGCTAGGAGCTCAGGGGGTGGGGGACGAATATAGTCAAGTATTAAGACACAGCTAGGCCGGGCGCGGTGGCTCACACCTGTAATCCCAGCACTTTGGAAGGCCGAGGCGGGTGGATCACGAGGTCAGGAGATCAAGACCATCCTGGCTAACATGGTGAAACCCCATCTCTGCTAAAGGTACAAAAATTAGCCGGGCATGGTGGTGGCAGGCACCTGTAGTCCCAGCTACTTGGAGGCTGAGGCGGGAGAATGGCGTGAAGCCGGGAGGCAGAGCTTGCAGTGATCCGAGATCGTGCCACTGCACTCCAGCCTGGGCGACAGAGTGAGACTCCATCTCAAAAAAAAAAAAAAAAAAAAGACACAGCTCCCACTGCCGTCAAAAAACGTGGAGCTGGTGAGGTGGTTCATGCCTATAATCCCAGCACTTTCGGAAGCCAAGGCAGGAGGATCGCTTCAGCCCAGGAGTTGGAGACCAGCCTGGGCAACATAGTAAGACCTTGTCTCTAAAGAAAATTTTAAAAATTAGCTGGGCATGGTAGCACATGTCTGTAGTCCCAGCTACTCCAGAGGCTAAGGTAGGAGGATCACTTGGGCCTGGGAGTTTGAGGCTGCAGTGAGCTATGATTGCACCAACTGCATTCCAGCCTGGGCAACAGCACGAGACCCTGCCTCAAAAAAAAAAAAAAAGGCATGTGGACTGGCTCAGTGGGGTGGCCCGAGGTTCGGATGGGCTGTAGGGCAACACTGATCCATGGCTGCAGGAGTTGAGGAAGGGATGTAGTTGTGAGGATGGAAGTCAGAGCTTCCTTCAACGGGTGGCCCCACATGGCAGAGGAGCCCACTGTGGGCGTGACTTCCCTCCTCTCTGTCTCACTCAACCTTGGGTCTGTCAGTGTGATCTGCTGGGAGATTTCTAAGCTTCTAAGACAGCACCCTATAAGGGACCCAGGTGGGGAATAGACCGTGACCAGCCAGCGACCCCTACTACCCGTCACTCAAAAGCACTAGCACCTTCAGCCACTCCTCCTGGGGATGGGTCAGACTTAGTTTTTTAGAAAAGCAGAGTGTTAGGTTCTTAGCTTGGAAGAGGGCAGACAGGCCAGTCCTGATACCTGATGGGGCATACCATCTCCCCTGATTTTCTGGTCCTGTTAGAATTTTCCATCTGAGAATTGGGAGGGTATTGACCTCCGCTTGGTTTCCCCATGATGTGTGGGGATCAGACCCCTGGATAACGAAGGTGTTGTTGAGGGTGGGTAGGAGAGCCTCCCCTGAGTTCTCAGTACCCCTTTGCCTCTCGTGCCCACTGCAGAGGCAGCTTGCCAACTACAACTTTGACTTCCGGAGCTGGCCAGTCGACTTCCACTGGGAAGAACCCAGCAGCCGGTGAGGCCCCAGTTCTTTTGCTGTATCTCTCCCCTTAGAACCATTCCAGAAAATCTCTGCTCTGCCCTCCCACCTCCATGCCCTCTCAGGTCACAGTGCCTGCCTTCCAATGCCATTATGTCGTTCCTAGACCCCACTGTTCTCCAGACCTCAGACATCCAGCTTGCTGCTCCTGACCCTATCCTTCCCTGCATCTTTCCCTTCCTCAGGAAGGAGTCTCGAGGGGGCCCTTCCCGCCGGGGTGTGGCCCTGCTTCGCCCAGAGCCCCTGCACCGGGGGACAGCAGACACCCTCCTCAACCGGGTTAAGAAGCTGCCTTGTCAGATCACCAGGTGGGAAACAGCAGCGAGGAGAGGCCCACTGGGGTGGAGGGGCCATTTCAGGAGTGCTCTGGGAGTGGGCGCTCCATTGTAAAATAGCTGTCACTCATTGGGCCTAGTGCTGTATGGTTTGTGTAGATCATTTATGGCAAAGTCATTTTTATCCATATTTATGTTTGAAGAAAAGAGGCTCAGAGAGGTCTGGAGTCTCAAATGTAGTAAGTAAAGAACTGGGATATGAACAAAAGCTCCTTCAGTGAGGCTGAAAAGGAGCAGTGGGGGTGGGGTGGGGGTGGGGAGGACACACACTTGTAGCTAGGGCAGGCTCTGGTAGCATCTGTGTACCCATCGTGGCCCCTCTGCCCTGTTGTTATTCCACCTTGGCTCCGGGCCCCTGTGTGCCTCAGTGTCTGCACCTGTGATGAACCTGCCCTGCAAGGTTGCTGAGGAGATTAAGTAAGGTAACATGTTCTGAAGGGCTCCTGCCTTGCCTGGGTGCTTGAGAGCACATGGTAAATCCCAAATAAAGCTCAGTCGTGGGTACTGATGATGTCAGAAGGAACGGAAATAACCACCTATATCTTATAGTGGAACAGACACTGGGAATTTTCTTTTGCTGGGAGTTAGGAGGCAGCTTCTAGAATACCAAGGAACAGGGTGGACTTAGTGGTTGGTTGTTGACAGTGTGCTAATTAGTCAGGGAGGCAAGCCATATTTGAGGTTTTGAATTATAACCATCATTTTTTAAAGCATTATTTATTTGGGGACCTTTAATATGTTGTACTTATATTTTAACAGAATCATAATCTGATGATAACTTTGCATTTACTTATTATGTATAGACAGTTACATCATAAAACTCTCAGAATTCTGTACATACAGGATATGTGTGCACTGAGCCACAATATAAAATGTTTATCTTACAAAGGTTGCAGTAAGAAAAGTTTGCAAAACACTAGCCTGGTACATATTTCATTAAGGCTTGAAAGAGGAAAGTAAAGCTGTGAAGGTCAGGGGTAAAGCAGGCCTTACAGTCTGTGAGTGCTAGGGCTGGGATGGTCCCCAGCACAGTCCCCAGGCCTCAACAGGGTTGGGGTTTGTTAACCTGTGTTCCCCACAGCTACCTGGTGGCGCACACCCTAGGGCGCCGGATGCTGTATCCAGGCTCTGTGTACCTGCTGCAGAAGGCCCTCATGCCTGTGCTGCTGCAGGGCCAGGCCCGACTGGTGGAAGAGGTGAGGCTTCCCTGCCCGCACATCCCCTAAAGCCCTCCCCTCTCACCCCCACCCACCCCGCCCCACCCCTGTGATGTGGCCTCCTGACCCTTGCATCTTGGCCATTGCGTCTTCCGTACTCAGTGTAATGGGCGCCGGGCAAAGCTGCTGGCCTGTGATGGCAATGAGATTGACACCATGTTTGTGGACCGGCGGGGGACAGCTGAGCCCCAGGGACAGAAGCTGGTAAGAGGGAGCAGAGAGCCCAGAGGTGGGGTGAGTGTGAGGAAGGCAGTAGAGGTCTGGGGACCCCAATGCTATAGCACCTCCCTGAAGGAACCACTACTGGGGATAATCTCATGTCCTAGCTCCACGCTAAAGACCTTGTGATGTAGTGAAACCCTGTGATAGAGAAACAGATGAAGTAGGAGAGACGTTCAAGGACGAGAAACTAATATTAATAGTTACCACTTTGACAGCACTTCACACTTATATATATTTAATTCTCATATATATATGAAGCATATATATTTAATTCTCAAAAGAATCCCGTGAGATAGGTACTGCTTATATTAGCCCATTTTACAGGAGATGAAACTGGGGCACAGAAAACCTTTCCTGGACCTCACAGTAAGTGGTAGAGCTGGTATTTGGACCCAGGCAGCCTGGCCTCAAAGTCTCCTACCTCCATGAAGCAGCCGTGGAAAGAGCGCTAAGCCAGGAGTCTAGGGAGCTGGGTTCTAGTCCTGGCTCTGCCCATCTGTTATGAGAGTTCATGCAAATCCCACCATTCGTGGGTTTCAGCTTGGGGCGCCATGGCATTACAGTTTATCTGACCATAAGACTGGAGCTCAGAGAGGGATAGGGAGAGCAATCAGCATACCACACAATAGCAATGGTCACAGAAGATAACAGACCCGAAAACGAGAAAGGAAAAACATCTCCATAGTCCCCTTCCTGAAAGAGATCCAGCTGGTAATCTTCCAAGGAAAAGACATGGCTGGGTGGTCGAGCAGGTCAGCCTCTGAGGAGTATTTGTAATCCCTTTGCTTCTCCTCTTATGGACCCTGTGGAATGAGAAGCTTCCATTCCCCTTGGAGAAAACAGAAACCTGCCCTTTCCTCTTCCCTGCAAAGCTCTTCATGGGCTGCCCTCCCTGCCCAAAGGGAGTTTTTCAGTCCCAACTTGGCCCCCCAGCCCTTCCTTCCTGCCTCCTTCCTAGGTGATCTGCTGTGAGGGGAATGCTGGGTTTTATGAGGTGGGCTGCGTCTCCACGCCCCTGGAAGGTAGGACGGTGACTCAGCCTCCTTATCTCCGCCCTTTGAAAGGGAATGTCCCTGCCTCCCACACTGACCTGACCTCCCCTGGCCTCTGCTTTCTCTGGGTGAGGTTTTGAGTCTCTCAGCTTTAGGGAAAAGTCCACTCGCCATTTGCTTTGATAACCTTACATCCCTCCCCTGGCCTGTGTCCCTAGCTATTATGCTTTTCATTCTGTTCCATTCCCCCACCACACACCCCACACAATCACATGCTGCTCCCTGTGCTGCCTCAGAACCTCTGGTGTCATCTCCTATTTCTGGGAAGGCTTGGAGTTATTTGCATCTAAGCTGGGGGGTACTTCTGCTCTTCCTTCCCCCAGGGATGGAGAAAGGGCTGTGGGCCACAAGGTCTCAGTCCCTCCTCCCCCTGTGTTACAGCTGGATATTCAGTCCTGGGCTGGAATCATCCAGGCTTTGCTGGAAGCACGGTGAGACCATCTCAGGAATCCCTTCCTTTTCCTGAATTATGTCTGTTTCCCTCTGGTCAGCCATTGGAGGGAGGAGAGGGGCTGTGGATTTCTTGAAGGCGTCCCACTCACCTGAGGGCTGGGGTCTAGGAGGTTGTGAAGGCAGCATTGGGAGCCATGCCCCCATCCCCACAGTGCGGGGCTAGCAGGAGAGGAGGAGGTAGATCTCATTGTACACATCCGTCTTCTGGAGAGAACAACCTCTCCTACCATCCCTTCCTTCTACACCTTCTCTGCCTGTCATAGGTGGCTGCAGGAGGGGTCCACGTTGGGAGGGACAGGTGAGCTGGCCTTTGGTGCTGACACACTCCTGACTTTGCCCTTTCTCCTGCAGGGGGTGCCATTCCCGCAGAATGAGGCTAATGCCATGGATGTGGTGGTCCAGTTTGCCATCCACCGCCTGGGCTTCCAGCCCCAGGACATCATCATCTACGCCTGGTCCATCGGCGGCTTCACTGGTACCAGCCTCCCTCCCATCCCCCACTGTAGACACATTCATGACCACCCAGCCCCACCCGGGAGAGGTGGGGAAATGGGGTGGGGTGGAGGCTCAAGGAAGAAGAGAGAGGAAGTAGAATCTCTGAGTGGGCCTGGAAGAAGCTATCCTATTTGCATACACTTCACCTTTCCTTCCCCTCTTGTGCCCAGTCATTAAAAGGAAAAGCAGACCCAGGTCCTGGGTGGGGAGA
Source organism: Homo sapiens (assembly GCF_000001405.40). NCBI lineage: Eukaryota > Metazoa > Chordata > Mammalia > Primates > Hominidae > Homo > Homo sapiens. Next base: position 3,031,221 of record NT_167247.2, on the reverse strand, counting down.
TCAGGGAAAGTGAATGTTTCCTGCCCATTATCTTCAGTGCACTATCTCCAGTGTTCTATCCCCATCCTCTCCAGATAGTTCCCTAACCAAGTGAAGTAGGTTAAGAAAAAAACAAGGGATAACATAGGGGGAATGGGGTTGGCCTATAGGGTCAGTGGGATGAGAGCATGGGTGGTGGGGAGAAAGGAGCCTTTCTCAGTTCTTACTCTTCTTCCCTGCCCTGGTACCAGCCACGTGGGCAGCCATGTCCTACCCAGATGTTAGTGCCATGATCCTGGATGCCTCCTTTGATGACCTGGTGCCCTTGGCCTTGAAGGTCATGCCAGACAGCTGGAGTGAGTGCAGCTCCCAGGCCTGCCCTTCCTGGGAAGGGGTGGGCTGGAACTGGGAACTGTTCTGAGATGGCTCCCTTTTCTTGGGTGGGGAGTAAGTCGCCCCATTGTTGGAAGCAGGAGGACTCCTTTGTCTGGGGGCCTCAGTTTTCTTTCTCCGTGAATAGTGAGGACCTTTATGTTGGGCAAGGGCTTTGTCTCTGCCATCCCTTCACCTTTATCCCACTCTAGGGGGCCTGGTGACCAGGACCGTGAGGCAGCATCTCAATCTAAACAACGCGGAGCAGCTGTGCAGGTGAGGGCCGGCCAGCGTCCGGCATTGAACACCTGCCCCCCATACAGCTCTGCTGGGCGCTCAAACCCTGAAACTAGTACTAAAGTGCAAGTTGGTAAAAGGCCACTGGCTCACATCCTGAGTGACCCTGCCACCACCTCAACTGGCCTAACCCCTCCCAGGTCCCCTGGGACTCTGGACCACCTCAGGATCTGGCAACCAAAGGGTTAAGGCCTGGCACGGCAGGGGTCTCCCAGCAGGGCCAGACTGAACCATGCCCCTTAAATAATCCCCTCTCACCCCTGAGTGAAGGGCTAGGTCAAGGGCTGTGCTATAGCAAGGGGAGGGTAAGAATGCTACCAGTGCAGGGATAGGGGTGGGCCAGTTGTCACCCGTCTCCCTCTGAGCTCTCCCTTCCCACTGCTCTGTTCTCTGAAGATACCAGGGTCCTGTACTGCTGATCCGGAGAACCAAGGATGAGATCATCACCACCACGTGAGTGCGTGGGAATCTCGGCCCTCAGGAACCCCAGAGATGGCCAGGAACTTGTCCCTTCTACCTCTGCCCACCAGAAACCTGGGTATCTAGACCCTTCCTCCTAACCTCCAGCCCCTCCAGGGTACATTCTTCTCACCCCCAGGGTTCCTGAGGACATCATGTCCAACCGAGGCAATGACCTCCTGCTGAAGCTCCTGCAGCATCGGTGAGAGCCAGGGTGTGTGCGCGCTGGGGGCAGTGTACACACACAGATACTGATACCAGCACAGGGAAGGAGGGAGGAAGGTTCAGGGATGGTGAATGAAAAAAAATCAGCCCTGACCTGTCCTGGCACTTCCTCCGTAGGTATCCCCGGGTGATGGCAGAGGAGGGTCTTCGAGTGGTGAGGCAGTGGTTGGAGGCCTCCTCACAGCTGGAGGAAGGTGAGAAGGGATCCAGTGAGGCTTGGGGCGGGGGCCCAGCAAGGTCAGGTTGCTGACTGGCTGTCATCTCTCTCCCTGACCAGCCTCAATTTATAGCCGATGGGAGGTGGAAGAGGACTGGTGTCTGTCTGTCCTCCGCTCCTACCAGGCAGAACACGGGCCCGACTTCCCCTGGAGCGTGGGTAAGGAGCTCCTGGGGCAGGAGAGAGGGTGGGAAGGGCCTAGGAAGGGGATGAATACCCAGATGTGTGGCCTATTTTGAGCGCCTCCTCTCTGCAGGGGAGGACATGAGTGCAGATGGACGGCGGCAGCTGGCTTTGTTTCTGGTGAGCTAAGGAGTGGGAAGTGGGAAGGGTTCTTGAATGGCCAGGGCTCACATAGGGGGACTGGGGATACCCTATAAGCATTGGAAGTGGCAGCTTTTGTAGAGTGGGTGGTGGATGCGGAAGTGGAGGGTGGGGAGGGAGTCCAGTGGCTGCCCCTCCCAACAGTGCTCTGTACCCCACCTGTCCCACCTCCTTTCCTCAGGCTCGGAAGCATCTGCACAACTTTGAGGCCACTCACTGCACCCCACTCCCAGCCCAGAACTTCCAGATGCCCTGGCACCTCTAGGGACCAACTGGGACTCATTATGGAAGAATGGGGTGAGAGGAGACATGAGGAAAGACCCTCTTATTTGTGATTCTCTGTGTTCATGTTGCTGTTTATAGTTTGTGGAAAGTGGGGGACCATCCCCCTTCTCACCACTGTTCCTCTTGCACGTTTCCCCTCATTCATGTGGCTGTACTTAACCTTCTCCAACATACATCCTGCATTACATGAATGGATTATTCCTAATAATTAATAAAAAGGTATTTTTTCTACTATCAGGCTAATTGTATAACTTCTCAAGTGTCCAGGGAGCCAGGGGCAGGTAGTGGGGAGAGCAGAGGCCCCAAAGAGCTGGGCTTTGGGAAACCCTAACTCTAGACAATCTAGCTAATCTAACCCTTCCCATCTCTGTGTCCCCCTAGGCCTTCAGCCCCTAACCTGAGCTTTCCTCAGGCAGCAGGTCCCCAAACCTCCCCGGTCCCTGATGTGCCTACTGTTATCACAACTGTGCAGCCTCCCTGGCCCCTCCCGCCTCCTTCTTCAGTTCTTCCTGCATACAACCACCCCAGGAGCCCATGGTTGCCCCCTCCTGCTTACGGCTCATGAGCTTTCTAGGATCCGATTTCACCTACCCAGTGCTTCTGCTGGTTTCCAGGTTCAACCTGCATGGTGTTACTAGCAGTACCCCCAATTTTCATTGCTCACCTCTTGTTATCTTGGTGAAGAGTGAGGAAGGGCCTGCTCCCCACGTCTTATGCAGCAAACCCTGCACACCCACCTTGCCATGTCATCAAGTCTCTGTCCTCACAGCCTTTTTGCAGTTCAACAAACACAGGCCCTGCCAGGGACGGAGGGCCAGGTGCCAAGGACTCATGTCTTCTCAGAGCCATACTTTGCCTTTTGGACGGCTCTGTTAGGAGAAGATGCTTAGGTTGTACCTGAGGAAATTGGTTCCCTATAACTGCCATCTATCTCTAACTTTGGACCTTGTGGAACACAGTGAATAAATCCCTCTTCCACCCATTGGTTTGTTGCCTGGCAGTTTTTTTTATTTTTTTGGAGATGGAGTCTTACTATGTTGCCCAGGCTGGAGTGCAGTGGCACAATCTGAGCTTGCTGCAACCTCCACCTCCCAGGTTCAAGTGATCCTCCAGCCTCAGCCCCTCTAGTAGCTGGGATTACAGGTATGCGCCACCATACCCAGTTGATTTTTGTATTTTTAGTGAAGATGAGGTTTCGCCATGTTGGCCAAGTTGGTCTCGAACTCCTGACCTCAGGTGATCCAACCGCCTTGGCTTCCCAAAGTGTTGGGGATTAAAGGTGTGAGCCACTGCGCCTGGCCGCTGGCCACTTTCTTCATTTGGAAACTTCTCTTTTCCAGATGAAAGACCCCAAAGTTTATCGCCCTGAGTCCATTTTTGTTTTGTTTTATTTTGTTGGGGATGGTTTTTTGTTTGTTTTTTGAGATGGATTCTCACTCTGTCGCCTAGGCTGGAGTGCAGTGGCACGATCTCAGCTCATTGCAACCTCTGCCTCCCAAGTTCAAGCGATTCTCCTGTCTCAGCCTCCCAAGTAGCTGGGATTACAGGTGTGTGCCACTACACACAGCTGATTTTTCGTATTTTAGTAGAGACAGGTTTCACCATGTTGCCCAGGCTGGTCTCAAACTCCTGAGCTCAGGCAATCCACCCACCTCAGCCGACTCCATTCTTTTTTTTTTTTTTTTTTTGAGACGGAGTCTCGCTCTGTCACCCAGGCTGGAGTGCAGTGGCACAATCTCGGCTCACTGCAAGCTCCGCCTCCTGGGTTCACGCCATTCTCCTGCCTCAGCCTCCCTAGTACCTGGGACTACAGGCGCCTGCCACCACGCCTGGCTAATTTTTTGTATTCTTAGTAGAGACGGGGTTTCACTGTGTTAGCCAGGATGGTCTCGATCTCCTGACCTCGTGATCCACCCGCCTCTGCCTCCCAAAGTGCTGGGATTACAGGCGTGAGCCACCGCGCCCGGCCAACTCCATTCTTTTGAGCAAGATACTTAACGTGGGCGACAATGTTCTAATGTCCTAGATGGAGTCTCTGGCTAAATTTCTGTGTCTTCTCCAAACCCAGTGCATGAAGCTCTTCTTGAAACCCCAGGGCAGAGGCTGTGTGTGCCCCCATTAGCGCTGCAACTCCTTAAGGGAAGATATACTGAGTCTCCACTGGAAGTGGAGATCTGAGACTTAATCAGGTGATGTGATGCCTGAAATTTGGAGTTAGAAGAGGCAGGTGACCACAGCTCCATAATGCTCCACCGTTAGCAAACAGGTGGATAGCTGATACTGGTGCCCTCTCCTCTATCCCATTCCAGGGGGGCAAACGATGGGAAGTGTGGAACATGAAGCTCTGGAGCCAGCTGCACAGTTCTGAATCCCATCCTCCCAGATCCAACAGAAGAGTTAATCCCCTGAAAACTAAATTTTTGTTCAGCTAAGGGAAGCTCCTTAAATGCAAAGAGGAGCTGGGCATGGTGGCTCACATCTGTAATCCCAGCACTTTGGGAGGCTGGGGCAGGAGGATCACTTGAGCCTAGAAGTTCAAGACTGGACAGGGCAACATAGGGAGACTCCATCAGTACAAAAAATTTAAAAATTACCCAGGCATGGTGGCATGCACCCGTGTTCCAAGCTACTCTGGAGGCTGAGGTAAGAGGATCGCTTGGCTGAGGATCACGGTAGGTTGAGGCTGCAGTGAGCTGTGATCGTGCCACCGGACTCCAGCTTGGGTGACAGAGTGAGACTCTGTCTCAAAAAAAAAAAAAAAAAGCAAATAGGGGTGCCCAGTCTCACCTCCCATACCCTGGGGACAAAGGACACCCCTCCCTGGACATGGCCATTAGGGACTCTGCTGAACTGCCCCTACTGCCACTTTCCCCCATCTTACTGCATGTAATTGTAGACAACAGTGGATGACCTGAGGGGCCCTTAGATACCTGAAATTGGGTAGGGAAAGAAAGGTAGGCTCAACATGTGAATTCTGAACCCCCCCATCCAGGGGCCTCAGCCTACTTCAGATTACTCCCTATGCAATAAGGTTCAGAGCAGCTGTGTTTGTTTTCAGAACTAATCCCCACCCAGGGGTGGAAGCAGGCCCCTGTCCACTCCTCACCCTATATAGCAAAGTTCCAGCAGTTCCAGGGGATGATCAGCAGAGATGCAGACCTTCCCAGTTGCTGGGGCGCTGGACCCTGCTATACTGGACACAAGGTGAGGCCTGAAAGTCCAGGCACCCTGAGGAGCTGGGCAAACTAGCAGAAAAGATGGCGCTGGGAGAAAGGAAAGTTAGACTCTGGACGGGAAATCTGGAAAGAAGTGGTTCCCAGCTGGGCCAAAAAGCCTCATCCTACGCCGTCTCATCGACCTGGGCTCCACCCTGAGTGCCTCCAGTGTGAGGTGCTGGACTGGCTCTGTGCTGCCTGTTTGGGTTGAGGGTTTGCTCCTAGGAGAGGCATGTATTTCTCGTACAGCTGTCACAAGCGAGTGAGGGCTCCGGAGGTGGAGGGCCCAAGAGGGTGGGGAGCTCAGGCGTCAGTGATAGCCAGATTTCCATCCATCGGTCCGTCCGTCCGTCCATCCATCCATCCATCTATCCAATCAACAAGCCATTCCGGATTCTTCAGGAATCCAGTCATTCATTTATATTTAGGTTAAAGACCCTCTCTCTGGTTCCTCTCTAGAACGCAATCTCGAGCCGCTCCCCCAACAAACCGTGGCCCTCTCCCGACCGGGTCATCTACAGCCCCGCCCCTCGTTTGCCTGGCTCCATTCCCCTAACCTTGGCGTTCTGTCCTCAGGCCCCGCCTTCTTTGTTTCGTCACTCGGTTGCTTACCCTCAGGTATCCCTTAACTCTAGGTAGGAGCACTCAGAAGGGACACCGTCATCTGCTGCTGTCGCCATGGCGATTATTCAACGCCCTGCCTCTTCACCCCAGGAAAACCTTCGCGGAACCCGTCACCATGGAAACGAACTCTCTGGACTCTTAGCGCGCCCTGGGCTGGCCCTGCTGGGTGGACAGGAGAGGAGCAAAACGCAACAAAGACGGGATTAATTACTCGGAGGCCGCGCCCCCTCCGAAGAAGGCCCCACCCTGCCCCGGCCTCACCCCTCCCCGAAATAATTCGAGGAAATATTCCGCGAATGCTGGGTGGGTGTCTTGCCCCCCGGTTCCCTCAAGGCCCACGGTCGCTTGAATTCCACAGCAAGTCCTCCCGGACCTCTCAGGGCAATCCCCTCCCGAAGCCCAGCCTCAGCCTCGCAAAGCCTCTAGTCGTTGGCCTTTTCGTTGCGATTATATTCGAGAGGGAGCTTCAGAGGGCGCCGCGAAGTTCCCCTGTGCTTCCCCTTTGCCCTTTGCCCTCTTCGCTTCAAGAGGAGCCCCTGGCTCTCTTTTTTTTTTTTTTTTTTTTTTTTTTGAGACGGAGTCTTGCTCTGTCGCCAAGCTGGAGTGCAGTGGCGCGATCTCGGCTCACTGCAACCTCCGTCTCCCGGGTTCAAGCGATTCTCCTGCCTCAGCCTCCTGAGTAGCTGGGACTACAGGCAGGCGCCACCACTCCTGGCTAATTTTTGTATGTTTAGTAGAGACGGGGTTTCACCATATTGTCCAGGATGGTCTCGATCTCTTAACCTTGTGATCCGCCCAGCTCGGCCTCCCAAAGTGCTGGGATTACAGGCGTGAGCCACGGAGCCCGGCCCTCTGATTCTTTTTGTCTATCACTCTGTGCACTCATTCATTCAAGACATTTATGTAGGTGCCCCGCGTTCCTCTGCAGTTCTCCACTACTCTGGCTTTTCTCTAATACAATTTATTTTGTGTTATTATTTCTTTAAGACAGAGTCTCACTCTGTCGCCCAGGCTGGAGTGCAGTGGTGCGATCTCGGCTCACTGCAACCTCTGCCTCCCAGGTTCAAGAGATTCTCCTGCCTCAGCCTCCCGAGTAGCCAGGACTACAGGCGTGCGCCACCACACCTGGCTAATGTTTTTGTATTTTTTGATAGAGACGGGGTTTCACCATGTTGCTCAGGCTGGTTGCGAACTCCTGACCTCGAATGATCCCCCACCTTGGCCTCCCAAAGTGCTGGGATTACAGGCATGAGCCGCCACGCCCGGCTAATTTTTGGTATTTGTAGTAGAAACGGGGTTTCACCATGTTAGCCAGGCTGGGTGCGAACTCCTGACCTCAGGTAGTCCACCCGCCTTGGCCTCCCAAAGTGCTGGGATTACAGGCGTGAGCCACCGCAGTCCGGCCCTAATATAGTTTTTAAATTCATTCATTCCAAGGCTTTTGGGAGGCGCTCAGTGGCGTGCAGTTTCCTCTCGAATTTCTTTCTTCCCGCAGTCTTTCTGGGCGGGCGTCTCCCGTCTGTTTCTTCCCATCTTCCCCCTTATCATCCTGGGACTGGATAATTCTTGAATAGTCTGGGAGGTAGCAGGGAACCCGAGTTCGGAGCCTCGACCAGAACCTCCAGACGGGAAATTGGAGCAGGTGGTGTCGTTCCAGGACGCTGAGGACCACCTCCTCCCCTAACGCACAGCCCAACGATCCTAAAAGTAAAAACCCTGAGTTTCTGAGTCAAGACTGAGCTGGTGGGGTGGGGACCGAGTAGGCGTGGATGGGGAGCCCAGCGGGTCCCCAGCGGAGAAAATGGGTGAGACGCCTGGGGCCGCGGTCTCCAGAATTCGCCTGGGAGGGAGAGTGGCGCTACGGCGCCGCCTTCCTGGGGAGCCGCTTCGGGCTCCGGATGTCCGCTGGGGCCCGACGCTTGGGTCCCGACGCGCGGTTCGCACTTTCCAGGTTTCTTCCCCAGGGAACAGAGCTTGAGCGGGGGGCCACCCCCCCGTCCTACCGGAGTTCTGAGGTGCGGTCAGGCGCGGAGAGCGGACGCCCAGCGCCAGATTCTGTGGGCTCCGGAGTTCAGGCCCACTGAGCCGCAGCTGAGCACAGGCGGGGCAGGAAAAAGGATGAGGTGAGGGAAGGCGCTGGGTTCCTGGAACCCCAAGGGAGCACTGAGCTGAGTACGTATCGCTTGGGATCCAGGTGTCCTTGTTTTAGGATGTCTGACAGGTGTCCCCAGGGTATGAGAAGTGGGACTGGGCACCCCCTATTTGCTTTTTTTTTTTTTTTTTTGAGACAGACCACATGTTTCCTATCTTGGAAAATGGTACCACTTCCTTGTGCAAGCCTACCCCTGTTCCCTCACCCCTCGTTCAGTCCAACAGCAAATCTGTCCAGTCTTCTAACTGTATCTCAGGTTCATTAGCCCCGCTTCCTCGTCCCTGCTCGTCTTCTGCCGGACCAGTCCGCCATCTTGTGACCGGACTCGGGAATAGCGTCCTACTTCCCGGCGGCCTCCACTCTTGACCCAAATGCAATGTGCAGCCATGGCAATCTTTTATAAACAGAAATCCGATCAAGTTACTCCTCTGCCGAAATCCCTCTGGTCAGTGGTTTAACTGTCGAGGTGCTCCTGGCAGCACTCTGCCCTCCCCACATCATTGCTGGTGGACTTGTCTCCCCTACTAGACTGTGCCCTGTGAGGGTGGAGACTTTGTGCAGGGTTGTATCCCCAGCATCTGATGCAGTGATTCAATAAACATCTGTCCAATTAATAGGAAAGACAGTTCCTTTTCTCATTCCCCTATTGCTGGTCCCCTGCCCTCAAGCAGGATGTTATGCCCCAGAGTGGCTGTGGGTGCGAACATTCTGCCCCTCTGGCTGGTCTGGCACTGATTTCCACCCTGAGCTGGTGTTGCCTCTCTCCTTCCTCTTGGCCAACCTCTCTTCCACCAATATAAGCCCAAACTGGAGGCCAGCAGGCAGTCATGCGTTTTATGGCAGGCCCTGCAGGGAGCCAGAGTCTGGGTCCCCTGTGCTTCCACAGCAGCCCCCAAGCCCTCTACACGGTCCTCTTAATAGTGCTGGTCATGATGAGCTTGGTGTTTGGTAAGTGGCTCCAAGGGTTCAGAAGGGTCTCCTGGCCTGGATGGAGAAACCCACAGACACCAAGTGTCTGGGTACACCTGTCCAGGATGCTCAGGTAAACCCATGCAGGAGGAGAGATGGGACAGATGGGTTTGGTAGGGAATGCCTGCTCATGGACTGATGTGCAATCTGAAGATTTTTAAAAATTTATTATTATTATTATTTTTGAGATGGAGTCTCGCTCTGTATCCCAGGCCGGAGTGCAGTGGCGAGATCTCGGCTCACTGCAACCTCCACCTCCCGGGTTCAAGCGATTCTCATGCCTCAGCCTCCCGAATAACTGGGATTACAGGCATAAGCCACCAAGCCCAGCTAATTTTTGTATATTTAGTAGAGACGGGGTTTCACCATGTTGGCCAGGCTGGTCTCGAACTCCTGACCTCAGGTACCTGCCCGCCTTGGCCTCCCAAAGTGCTGGGATTACAGGCGTGAGCCACCGCACCCAGCCTCTGAAGGAGATTTCTAGTGACCACCCCAGGGCTGTCTCACTTCACAGCAGTGACCTGAATAGAGATACTGAAGGAATCCTCTCTGGATCTGAGGGCAACATAGAATAGGGAGGGTTAGGGAGTGTGCTGGATGAGAAAACCAGAATCCACAGGATAGAACAAGACTGAGTCCAGCCTGCTGGGCTCCCCACTTGGCTGCAAAGCACCAGCCACAGAGACACAGGATTCAAAGTGTTGGTTTAGCACTTTCCTCTGCCTAACACCAAGTGCTCTGCTGGGTCTGGGGATTTGTTAACATGTGGTCTGGCCTTAGGACCAGAGGAAAAGGGGGATGTATGTGTATGCAGTTGGGGAAGGAAGCAGAGAATTGGGGCTTTGATGGTTTTCTGAGACAGGAAGGGAGGGAGGAGTGGGGCTGAGTGGCCTGGAATCAGGCAGTGGTAGGGTGTGAGGTAGAATGGGGTGTGAGTGGGGTCAGCACTTCTCTGTGTTCTAGGTAAGTTTGTTCCTGTCAATTGGGAACCCCCTCAACCACTTCCATTCCCCAAATACCTGCGCTGCTACCGATGCCTCTTGGAGACCAAGGAGTTAGGGTGCCTTCTGGGATCTGACATCTGCCTCACCCCAGCTGGCAGCAGCTGCATCACTCTCCACAAAAAGAACAGTAAGTGGCCTTCTCCTGTCATGGGCCCAGCACTCTCCCAAACGGAAACTCTCTCAGCCTCCTAAGCTGCACCCCAAGTCTTGTTCCCATAATCCCATAAGACATTGCTCCAATCCTGTCTTTTTTTTTTTGCTGCTCTGTCACCCAGGCTGGAGTGCAGTGGCGCAATCTTGGCTCACTGCAACCTCCACCTCCCCAGTTCAAGCAATTCTTGTGCCTCAGTCTCCCAAGCAGCTGGGATTAAAGGTGCACGCCACCACGCCCAGCTAATTTTTTGTATTTTTAGTAGAGATGGGGATTCACCATGTTGGCCAGGCTGGTCTCGAACTCCTGACCTCAGGTGATCCACCCACCTTAGCTTCCCAGAGTGCTGGGATTACAGGCGTGAGCCACCGTGCCCAGCCTCTCTTCCCTTTTCTTCAGAGCCACACTCTGTCTCCACTTCCACTAACCTTCTCTCCTCAATCTGTAGCTGAATAGCTTCTACCCTATCAAGGTGCGCAGCTTTGACGGGGACCCTCCAGATCTCCAGGTGCCCTTGCCTGTCCTCAAGCTGTCTGCTTCCGCATCTGTCTGCAGTTACTGCTGGTGTTGCTCTTCTCCTGCATCCTCCACGGCTTCTTCAGTCTCCTTCATGGAGCGTTTTCTCTCTGACCCTTAGTGGTTCATGTTCACCAAGGTTTGGTCCTTAGCTGTCTTCCCACTTCATATACTCAAAAGCAGAGGATTTTATCTGCTTTGCTGGCTTCAACCAGCAGCCACATACCACTTCCTTCTGAATCTGAATGTTATGTCAAACCGCTCTCCTCATATCCCGTTGACCACTGGACATCTCCCTCGCTGAAAATTGACTCCTTCCCGATGCCTGCTCTTCCACCGACCCCCCACCTTTCTTAAGTTAGCAAAAACGTAACACATAATATGTGCTAGGCACTGTTCTAAACACTTGCAATCCGCTGAGGCAGGTATTATTACTATGTGCATTTTACAGATGAGGAAACAGGTGCAGAAAGGTCATAACCTTGCCTGAGTCTCACAGATGCTGAGCCAGAATTTGTGATGGCTCCAGAGATGGTGCTCTCAACAACCACTGCATGCAGCTGCCTGTGTTCAAGTCCTCTTACTACCCTTTTAACATAGCCGATGCACAGATGTGGGTCAAATATCAGAGTATACAATACCATCAAACCAAAGTCTCCCGCTACTACCCTAACCCACCTGGCTCCCCTGCACATGTGACCACTTTTTTTACTTTCTGGATGATCCCTCCTGCAATCTTTTATGCACATTCCACCCTGCACAAATATGCTGTTTACTATTTTTTCACCTCTTCCCCCGCCCCAACCCAAGATAGTAGCATCCCACTGTAAACATTATTCCACATTTAAGTTAGGGGAACTGAATGTTCCGATATCAGTTTGTAAACAGCTTCCTTGTTTTATTGACCTGCTGTATACTACTCCATAGCATGCGCATATCACAGCTGATTTCCCCATCCCACTATTGATGGGCATTTTGGTCATTTCTCTCAAGCAGGGCAGCAGCAAACATCCCTGAACATGACTTCTTGGGATGCAGGCACAAAGATTTTTCTCTATTATGTATAACAGCAGCAGACATCATCTTATTCTCTTTTGGTCTGAAAAATAAATAACAATACACCTCCTTCCTGCCACCCAATCTCCAAAACATTTCCCAGCTTTTTCTCACATGGTCCTATGGTGCTAGTTCTCCTCACTTGGCTCAGTAACTCCCAACTCCCCCTCCAACCATTACATTTCATATGGCTCTTTTCCTCCAGCCTTGCATGGGAACTTCAGTGGAGTTCCATGGCTGGTGAACACTGGGCATGTCCACCCATGCCTAACTACAGGAATCTTTTCTTTTTCTTTTTTTTTTGACTTATGAGTGTGGGGATGAGAGGATTTGGGGCTCTTCCTGGGGACTTCCGTATCACTGGTGCCCACTGTCCCTCCCCAGGCAGCGGTTCTGACGTCATGGTGAGTGACTGCCGAAGTAAGGAGCAGATGAGTGATTGTTCAAATACCCGAACTTCTCCGGTGTCTGGCTTCTGGATATTCTCTCAATACTGCTTCCTGGATTTCTGCAATGACCCTCAAAACAGAGGGCTCTATACTCCTTAGTGTGACTGCAGCAAACTTTGGTGTAAAATTCCACCAGTTTCCAGCCACCTTCCTGACTTCTATCTGGGCTTGGCCAGGACTTCTAGTCCCTCATACCAGCCCTCCTTGCCTCCCTCCAGCCACTGGACCCCAGCCTTGGCTCTTCCTCTTGGTTGACGCCCTTCAGCACACTTACTGCTACTCTGTACCCCCAGCCCTACTGCCCACCAGGTTTCCTCTCTTGTCCCCTAGTCCCTGGATGTTTCTCCCAAATAAATTTGTGTGTAAACTGTTTGGTATGTCTCTTTCTTCTGGTGGAGGTGAAGGCTGAGGGAGGTGCACCTGCCTAACTGCCCTACCATGGGTCAGGTAAGGGACCCCCAGCTCTGCTGAGCTGTCCTCTTGTCCTGCCTTGGTATGTGATTTGCTCTAGACACAAAAAGAGAAAGAGGAAATGAAAGCCCTCCTATGGTGAATGCCAGAAAGTTAGTGGGCATCCTCGGCAGTGCTGTCAGACCAGAGCTGTGTGGGGGCTAGGGGCGTTTAGAGGGCTATGTTGGTGGGAAGGGGGCTGCGAAAGGACCAGGCCCAGGTAGAAGGAGGTGGGTGAGAAGGCCACTCTTTTTTTGAGACAGTCTCACTGTCACCTAGGCTGGAGTGCAGTGGTGTGATCTTGGCTCATTGCAACTTCTGCCTCCCAGGTTCAAGTGATTCTTCTGCCTCAGCCTCCCGAGTAGCTGGGATTACAAGCACATGCCACCACACCTGGCTAATTTTTATATTTTATTAGTAGAGACGGGGTTTCACCAGTTGGCCAGGCTGGTCTCGAACTCCTGACTTCAAGTGATCTGCCTGCGTTGGCCTCCCAAAGGGCTGGGATTACAGGCGTGAGTCACCCCGAGCCGAGAAGGCCACTCTCAAAGAGATGTTAGACCTTATTGGAGTCCTGGTCTCTTCAATTCTGGGCCAAGTTCTTCAGCCTCTGAGGGTGTCTTCCAGGTTGACCTGCTATAAACCTGGGCCTTTCTCTGTCTTATACTGACGTCAGAGGTCATGGAGAAGGGTGGACTTAGCAAGGTGGGGGTTGGGGGGCACATTAAGGGTTTGTACCTCTCTTTGTACGCCAACTGCCTCATGACTTAATTATCATTGGTTTGGTATTTTCCGTCAGAGTACAGGCCACACAGATTTGTTAACACGTGTGCAAAACACTATATAGGTAAAAGCAGATGCGTACGATGCCATTTCCATCAAGCACAGACAGAACTCATCTAAGCTACTACCAGTCAGGACAGCGGCTACCCCAGAGCTGGGAAGAGCACCTGGGAGAGGGGAACAGAGGCAGGCTTGGCTGCGGGTAAAGGTCTTCACGCTGATTTGGTGGCTGGTTACACAGATGTGTGGTTTACAAAAATCCATCTTGTGATATGTGCAAGCTTCTGAATGTTTTACCAAAAAGGTTTGAAAATAAGTAAATCAGCCAGGTGAGCATGGTGGTGTGCATCTGTAGTCCCAGCTACTTGGAGGCTGAGGCAGAAGAATCTCTTGAGCCCAGGAGTTCAAGGCCAGCTTGGGCAACATAGTAAGAACCTTAGAAAAAAAAGCTGAACATTGTGTATGCATTTGACTCTAGGGCAAATATATTTTTTTGAGGGGGAAAAGGCCTTAACTTCTACTTGTGTATGCACATTTACATGTGTTTTCTCAATCATCTGAGGCACTATCCCTACTTGACAGGTGACCAAGGTGGGGCTGAAGAGACTGACATATCCAAGTGGTAGAGGGGCTGGGATTGGACCTCCCAGCCACAAAGCTGCACTGCTTTTCAGAAAAAGGTTTCATAACCCAAGCACTGGGCTGCAAGACTTGGAAGGGCAGACACCTGGCTATACTCATCTGGGAGTCCTGCTGCTCAATACCAAGCCTGACTCAGAGCAGCGTTATGTCCAGCATGTTTATCCAGTGTATGGAAAAGGCTGTTGTATCCATCCTTGCTTTCTATACGTTTGCACTATTTCAAAATTAAAATATTAGCATGAAGATCCAACCACTGCAGCCCAACATCAGTGCTCTCAGCACTTTGCCCCTCAAATTGGGCCCCTCGAGAGGGCATCCTGGATGCCAGAATCCTTGAAAAGAACTAAGGAATGGCAGGAGTCCAGGGCCCCAGCAGCAGGTAACTCTGGCATGTGGCTCTGAGTTCCTGAGTCTTTCTGGTTTAAAGAGAAAGTTTCTTTTTTTTTTTTTTTGGAGACAGTCTCGGTCTGTCACCCAGGCTGGAGTACAGTGGCACGATCTCGGCTCACTGCAAACTCTGCCTCCCAGGTTCAAGCGATTCTCCTGCCTCAGCCTCCTGAGTAGCTGGGATCACAGACACGTGCCACCATGCCCAACTAATTTTTTTTTTTTTTTTTTTAGTAGAGATGGGCTTTCACCATGTTGGTCAGGCTGGTGTCGAACTCCTGACCTCATGATCCGCCTGCTTCGGCCTCCCAAAGTGCTGGGATTACAGGCAAGCCACCGCGCCCAGGCTTTTTTTTTTTTTTTTAAGACAGAGTTTCGCTCTTGTTGCCCTGTCTGGAGTGCAATGGCGTGATCTCAGCTCACTGCAACCTACACCTCCCCGGTTCAAGCAATTCTCCTGCCTCAGCCTCCCAAGTAGCTGGGATTACAAGCATGAGCCACCATGCCCAGCTAATTTTTCATATTTAGTAGAGACAAGATTTCACCATGTTGGTCAGGCTGGTCTCAAACCCGACCTCAGGTGATCCACCCACCTCGGCCTCCCAAAGTTCAGGGATTACAAGCATGAGCCACCGCACCTGGCCTAAAGTTTCTTTTCTTAGGTGAAAAGACCTGGCATCATCAGGGTCTAACTTTCCAGGTTTTGTAGGGTATGTTTAAGGCTGGGAAGAATCACAGTCCCCATGCTTTGATCTCCAGCTAAGCAGAGGGTGGGGAGGGATGTGTGCCCTTTACAGGAGGCCGAGAGGAAGCGACAAACGCCAAGTGCAATGGAGAGGGCTCTGCAATCCTATTTGGATCCCAAACCTCACTAACCCTTTTTTTTTTTTTTTTTTTTGAGACACAGTTTCACTCTTGTTGCCCAGGCTGGAGTGCAATGGTGCAATCTCGGCTCATCGCCACCTCCACCTTCCAGGTTCAAGTGATTCTCCGGCCTCAGCCTCCCGAGTAGCTGTAATTACAGGTATGCGCTACCAAGCCCGGCTAATTTTGTATTTTTAGTAGCGATGGGGTTTCTCCATATTGGTCAGGCTGGTCTCAAACTCCCAATCTCAGGTGATCCGCCTGCCTCAGCCTCCCAAAGTGCTGGGATTACAGGCGTGAGCCACTGCGCCAGGCATTAACCCTCTTTAATCTGTGTTTACCTGCCCACACCTGAGCCTGACCCCACAAACAATGTGACACAGTTTTAGCCCAGTCCCAGTTTATTGTGGAGGAAAATGGGGGACATGGAGCTGAGCAGAACAGACCCTTCCCTCTCCTCTCACAGGCCCCTAGGGAGATGGGTGTCAGGACTCAGTGAAGTGAAATGGGGCCGAGGAAGCCAGAGACTGACAAGAGAGCAAGAGAGGACAGGAGGCAGAACAACACCAGGACAGGCGGGGGTTGGTGGAGACAGTGAGGCAGGGACACAAAATTGCCAAGTCAGGACATCTGCACAGAATTCTATTCCTCATCCTTTTTTTTGGAGACGGAGTCTCACTGTGTCACCCAGGCTGGAGTGCAGTGGCGCGATCTCGGCTCACTGCAACCTCTGCCTCCCGGGTTCAAGTGATTCTCCTGTCTCAGCCTCCTGAGTAGCTGGGATTACAGAGGTGTGCCACCACACCCAGCTGATTTTTCTATTTTTAATAGAGAGCGGGTTTTACCATGTTGGCCAGGCTGGTCTCAAACTCCCAATCTCAAGTGATCCGCCCACCTCGGCCTCCCAAAGTGCTGGGATTACCGGCGTGAGCCACCATGCCCGGCCTCCTCGTCCTTCTTGCTGCTAGTTCAGTCTGGTACTGGGTCTTAGAGACATGGACAAGACAGGGGAAACAGAGCTAGATGTCAATAGGCAGGTGACTGGATTGAGAGGGATGGGGGATACTGGAACACTCAGATGATGGGGAAGGAATGGAGGAACCACTGTGCCTTTCTCAGGTCAGCCTGTCTGGGCAGAATCCACACTAGAGATTCTTTTCTAGGGGGAAGAACAGCACCAGAGCTCAGACAGGCACAGTGGCTCACACCTGTAATCCCGGCACTTTGGGAGGTCGAGGAGGGCAGATTACGAGGTCAGGAGTTCGAGACCAGCCTGACCAACATGGTGAAACCCCGTCTCTACTAAAAATACAAAAAATTAGCCAGGCGTGGTGGTGCACGCCTGTAGTCCCAGCTACTCGGGAGGCTGAGGCAGGAGAATCGCTGGAACCCGGGAGGTGGAGGTTGTAGTGAGCAGAGATCATGCCACTGCACTCCACCCTGGGTGACAGAGCGAGACTTTGTCTCAAACAAACAAAAAAACAGCACCAGAGTTCAAGAGAGAAAATTACACAAAAGTCATATAGATGCTAGTGGTACAACAGACGGAGGCCTAAGAAATCACAGTGACCAAAGAATGTGGGTGTTTTCAGAGAGGGCAGTGCAGGATGCTGAGGGTGTTACAGAAAGATATTTGCACTGTGGAATTCAGGAAGGGTGAGGTGTCAAGAGTCCAGCCTGGGGAAGAACCAAAAGTCCTGAACTATTGAGGAACAAGTACATGCGGCGCAGCTCAGCAAAAGACAAGCCCAGGTTCAGGGACAGTGTGACCATGGGGTCCAGGCCATCAGGCTCCGTCCCAGCATGGAAATTGGGGAGGGGCAGGGAGAGGTTCAGGGCCTGGTAGAACCACTGAATCTGGGAGTCAGACAGAGGCAGGGCCAGGGGCCTGTCATGGGGCTCCGGCAGAGAGCTCTGGAGTTGGGGGCTTGACCAGGAGTTGCAATAATCGTACTGACAGCACTGGGCCTGATACCAGTACTCTGCAAAGTAGGTGTTGCGTTTTTCTTGGCAGCGGTAGGAAATGTACTGTCCACAGCCTCGAACGATGAAGCGAACCTTGACATCTGAGGGAGAGGGGAAAGCTGATAACCCCTTCCAATAGCTTCCCATAGTCCAAGAACCCCTGCTACTGACTTTTCCCATCCTTCACCCAGACCTAATTTACTTCTAACCCAGAGTCCTTCAAGAGGCTAGAAAAGTGAGCTCTGCTGGCCCCCTAGAACCTTAGACCCCTCCTTCCAAGATTCTTCTGGTTTTTTTTGAGACAGGGTCTAGCTCTGTTACCCAGGCTGGAGCATGGTGGCGCAATCTTGGCTCACTGCAACCTATGCCTCCTGAGTTTAAGAGATCTCCCACCTCAGCCTCCCGAGTAGCTGGGACTACAGGTGCATACCACCATGCCTGGCTATTTTTTTGTAGAGACAGGGTCTCACTATGTTGCCTAGGCTGGTCTTGAACTCTAGAGCTTAAGTGATCCACCTGCCTCAGCCTCCCAAAGTGCTAGGGTTACAGGCATGAGCCATTGCACTCAGCCCCTCCTCTCTTCTTGTACCCCATGCCCGGAGCAGCCCTGATCTGTGAGAGGAGAGAAGACCAAGCCATTGGCTGCCCCACCAGCAGCCCCTTCCTGGGACCTTATTTACCATAATAGATGGTGATCACCATGCACAGGGATGAGCTGCTGATGGTACACTTCTCTGAGCCTGAAATGCATCCTACAGAAGGGTCTTCTACGAGGCAGAAGTGGCACGTCCGGATGTCGGGAACAGGAACTGGGGAGGCAGAAGGAGGGATGGAGGCACTGGGTCACTCTCAAATACCCTGGGCCAGTAGGAAGCCCGATTATCCATGGCCACGCTCCACCCCCTTCCTGGACTCAGTTACCCCTTCCTCCCTCCCTGCCCCTGGGCCCCACTTACCCTTTCCTACTGTGAAGCCCACCATGACCAGCACACCTACAAGCATATGGACCTTCATTTTGGAATTCTGGGGAGATGGGCAGTTCCTGAGGGGATGCCCTGAAACCCCACCTTCCTGTGACCATGCTCCTTAATCCTAAGCTGCAGGGTGGTTTTGACAAGGTCTGAGCAGGAGCTGCTGTAAATGCAGAGCTATATTCCTACTTGGGGCAGGATCCTGGCTGGGAAGGAAGTTATTACTTGGCAGGAGGGACAGCATGTCCTCACCCACAACGTCTGGTTCCTGAGTGTGGGAGTAATGGCCCAGATGGGGTAATACCTGGGCACTACCGGGTTCTTTATCCAGTGTCTACCTTTGTCTTGCATACCCTCCAAAGACCTATTCCCTCCCTTGGAAAGTCCATGGGTTAGTATCTATCTCTGCCACCATGTGCTGTCTTCGTCATACAACAGGGCCAATCCCCACTGTGCTGGGACAACCTGGCCAGGAAATCAAGCATCCCCATCCTTCTGAGATGAGCAGTCTCAGCTCCACCAGCGGCAGGCACACACACATCACTGAGCAGCAATTCCGGACCTTGTCCCACCTCGTTCCACCCTTTAGTTATACTGACTTTAGGCTACTTTTCCTTTAGAACTAAAACTAAAAGATGGAGCTGCTGATTAAGCCCCTTACAGTATAAACAGACAGTCATAGATATCCAAACAAATATTTCTCATCTTTGAAATATGCTTTGTCTTTTCCTTTTGACCTTGCATTTCATCACACGCAGTCCTAGGAATTCTGTTCTGCTCCATACTAAAAACACCACCCAATCCACTGAGCACAAATCTGTCCTGGTTTTCAATCTGGGGAGGGTGGGCTGGGCCATGAGGGCCCCTGGAGTCCAACACACCATCACCTTCCCTTCCCCAACAGCAAGCACCAGCAGACTAGCTCATGGCCTTTTCTTCTACTTTATTTCATATTCCCACCACGATAACGACTCCTTTAATTTAAACTAAAAACCATACAGGGTTCCTGAAAGGGTGGCAAAAAAGAAAGGAAAAGACAAAGACTGCAGGACAGGTGGGGGAGGGAATCAGCGAATCGTCTTGACTGGGCTCTTGAAGTTGCTGGCGGCTTGGAGCTGCAGCTGGTAGGCCATCGGATGGATCTTGAAACCGTAGAGCCTAGGCCAGGGCAGAGGTCAGAGAGGCAGCAGCATGAGCCCCATCCAGGCCCTGCCAGTCACCTGCATTCCCACCTCCCCACCTGAGCTCCTCTATGGACCTGCTCAGAGCTAAAGCCTCGTGGTTCCCAACTTCTCAGCTCAAGAACATTCTACAATAAGGTAACTCAAGCACAGATAATCAAATAACTTTCCCACAGTCACTCAGCAGGGAGATGCCCTGATTCTGGGAGAAGCAGACCTCAAGAAAGGGCCATGCCCTGTCCTCCCCTCTCTGGGGGATCTTGGGCCTTTCCTTTGACCCTTAATGACTCTCCCTGCTCCCTACCTGGGCACAAACTGGTTGGCAGGTCTCTTGGGCCGGTACTCGGGATGCACCATGAAGAGCATGTGAGGGAAACCAGTGCCGAAGTAGGCGCCATCCGTGTGATGGTGTCTTGATGACTTGGGTGTGTACACATCCATGCACTTGGGGCAGTAGAGCTTCACCATGGCTTCACCTGGGATGTCTGAAAGGCCTGGGAGACAGCCAGACTCAGCAGGCCAGGTATCCCCCTATTCCTACCTAACCTCCCCTCAGGACTCAGGCTCCAATGTGTTGAGCCCCAACTCCTTCCCATAAGACTGCCACACGGTGCTTTCCTTTCCCTTCTTCAACACTCACCAATGGGAAGCATTGGCTGGTTCTCACAGTACACACGAGGACAGTAACCAAAGTCTCCTTGCTGGTACTTTTCCAACTGAGGTGAATACAATGGAAGGGGTTGGCAGGTAGATGTAAAGAAGAGGCAACTCCCTTCGCAGCCCAACCCATACCACTCTGTCCCCCACTCCTCCCACCTCTGTCCAGAGGCCCCTTCTCTGGACTAGATGGGCTCTCAAACTTCTGTGTTGCCTTTCTTCCAATTAGGCAGGCTACAAACCATCAGAGCCATTTGTTGTTTGTTCCTTGAGGAAGAGGCAGTCTATCACAACTCTCTGATTCAAGGTCTGTCTCCCTCCCTGAAAACAATCCCTTCAGGATGACCCCCAATCAGAATTCAATTCCCAGGCCCAAGTTCTGGGGTTCTTCCCCTCTTCTCAGCTAGCTTCCTTAAACAGGGCTTAAACATGACTTCTTGCTGCAGGAACCTGTGTCTCTTACTGCTCAGAAGGAGGCAGGTAGGAGCAGAGAGGCCTCACCATCTGGGCGATGCCACGGTTGGTAAGGATGTAGCGGGCGTGGATCAATCCATAAAGCATCTCGGCTGCCTGCTCAATCAGGTCACTCTGGTTGGGGTTGTCTTCCAGTTCTTCATCTGAAACACAGCCCGGCCAAATGCAACTACTTGTTTTTCAGCTTTCCTAGGTGCCCTGCCCATATCCAGGGGCTGCGGGCTATTCAGTTTGCCTAGCACCTACTTTTGGGCCTTACCCCATCCAACATCTGGGCATGGGACCCAGAAACCTGGGCTTCTGACCCTTGCATCAAACGAAGACAGCTCTGCCTTCCCTTCACACCTTTTCAGCCTCTGCTCCTTGCTCTCCCTCCCAACTCCCTCCTCAATACATAACTGCAACAATGTCAATGCAGAAGATGAAACTCTAGACTGGAAGGTGCAAAGCAGGAGAAACAGACAACAAACCAGACCCATGAGGAAACGCATTTTGGAATAGGTCTGAATTGCGGATTTAGAAAACATGAGAACAAGTGATATACGTCACAAAACTAGACAAGAGTCAGGTGGAGGATCAAAATAAAGCATGAATTTGGGGTTAAAGAAATCAGAGAACCAAAGGAAATTTCAAAATTCAGGCAAGTGAATAGAGATTTGAAGAGAAAAATAGTGCACGCACACACACAAAACAACCCTGAGGGTGCCTCACCAGGCTCCAGGTCCAAGATCATGTCTAGAGCTTGTCGATAGTGAGGGACCTGCTCATTGAGTCCAGTAAGATTAAATTTGTCCTGGATGTAGTCTTCATCCACCTGTCAGGACATGGAAGCCAAGAGGGAACCCATATCAAAATCCTCATCTTTGACCTGGGCAAAATGCTCTAAGTGATGCCTTATCATCAACACAACTGCATCTGTTGTGCTTGTTTCTCACTCCCAACTCAGCAGAAGTACTTGTGTCTCTCCCTAGTTCACCTACACTCTCTCCCATAAAAGCTTTGGCTTTTCTTTTCTAAGGATAAGTAGATACAGCAATCTTTTTCTTAGACATTCTTTTCAAGATCTTTGTCCCTACTCCACTCCTGTATCCCGTCTCTAGGAACCAGTTTTGTCCTCTCAGCTGGCTAAGGAAGGTGGAAGCTGAACAGCATGGTTTCTGAACAAAACATTTCAATGTGTAGCATTTCAGTTTTCCTAAAGGCCACCTGAGACAAGTACTAGCAGTGCCACTTTAGTAACAAAAGATACAGGCCGGGCGCAATGGCTCACGCCTGTAATCCCAGCACTTTGGGAGGCCGAGGCAGGCAGATCACCTGAGGTCTGGAGTTCGAGACCAGCCTGGCCAACATAGTGAAACCCTGTCTCTACTAAAAATACAAAAATTAGCCAGGCATGGTGGCAGGCACTTGTAATCCCAGCTACTTGGGAGGCTGGAGCAGGAGAATCGCTTGAACCTGGGAGGCAGAGGTGGCAGTAAGCCGAGATCGCACCACTACCCTCCAGCCTCGGTGACAGAGTGAG
The DNA here is from genome assembly GCF_000001405.40 of Homo sapiens. Lineage (NCBI taxonomy): Eukaryota > Metazoa > Chordata > Mammalia > Primates > Hominidae > Homo > Homo sapiens. The sequence continues at coordinate 3,009,031 of NT_167247.2, read as the reverse complement.
ACCCAGTCTCAAAAAAAAGAAAAAGACACAAATTGACTAGCCCAACGTTATATTGCTGGACGGTGGCAGACTCAGGACTTGGGCCCCAGTTTTGCCACTTTAGCACAGGTTCGTCGGGGTTTATAGGGGGGACTCTTTGCTGATAGGAAGTTTTCAAATAGCATGTAAGAGAACAGTGTAGAAGTGGAATATGTGAAGGAACGTCTGGTGGGAAGATATGTGAAGCTGGCAAGTAGGGAGGTTGAAGAGAACTCACTTCACAGAAGAATTCATTGCCACGGAGCCCACAGAACCAGGAAATCCAGGACACCTCCTCTGAGCTGCTCATCTTCACGTCAGCTAGAAAAAGAACAGTGTCAGTAAAGCTCAAGTTCTCCTTCCCTGCCTCTGGTATCCTCCCTCCTCCCACATTCGGCCCTCCAACCACGGGAGAATTCGGAACCACCCTTTCTTAAAGCAACCCAAACTCTGAAGCACTCCTCTCCAGCTCCTCTAATTTACATCTCAGCCCCTTTTCTTTGAAGTTAAACATTCTTTGGGGTCCCACCACTTGAAAGAAGCCAACAGATACTTTGACCCACCAGCCCGACCCACATCCCTGGAGCTCCCGAAGGCCAGGGCCCTCTCTCCTCTGTGTCAACTCCGGCAGGGACCTCGACTCAGGCTCCCTACCAATACAAGTCTCTGCATGACCCCCACGCCTTTCCCAAGGGTTTCCAAGTTTATCATTCTCAAGCAAGAACTGGGCTCCTCCTTTTCTCACGGGTTGGGGGCGATTGTCAGGTCCCTTTCACCGGAATCCACACATCCCCCCTCCGCTCCTCAGGCCACCTCTCCCTCCTTCGTGCCGGACCTGGTCGCTTCCTCCCCCGCCCCCACATCAAAGTCCGGAGACCCCATGTGCCGCTCCCAGCGACAAGGGACTCGGAGCAGCGACGACTTCAGACTCACCGGCTGGACGGGGACCAGGACTGGGGTGGGGTAGGGAAGTTGCTACTTCCAGGGAACGGCGGCGACCGCTACAGCGCAGGCCGCGGACCCGACCGCGGCAGGCGAAGTGGGGTGGGGGGAGTGGAAATTAGGGAGGGTGGGGAAGAGGGCAACACGCAAGCGCCAAGGGTCAGGTGCCGCGGTGGATGCCGGGACACGGAGTCCCCGGTAGAGAAAGAAACTGGCTAAATGAGAGAAAGCGAACTACCAATCCCAGGATGACCCGCGCACGACCTGGCTGTCACGAAGGCCCGGAGGAGGGCGCTTGCGGGCGGGGCACAACGAGAAGCCACCGGAAGCGGAAGCCAGGTATGGCGTTCGGGGCCCGGGAGTCTGGGCAATACAGTTTTGTGCTCACTGGGTGAAGAGGCTGACTTAGGGCGGGGAAAGGAGGGAGCCAGGCTGGATCTCTTTCCGCAGCTCTCCTCACGTTCCCCTCTAGTCCCGGCGCGGCGCTGCTGCCCAGGGGACTGGCCTATCCTCGGCCAATCCGCTGGGTCCTTATTGCCTGTTGGGCCCCTAGTGCGAATCAGTCCCGCCAGAGACCCTTGACGGGCATACTGTTTCCTCCGGGCTCCTGCCTCATGAGGGGAGAGGTGCGGCTTGGCTCCGTGCGTAGGGACTTGGGTGGGGTGGGGTGGGCGGTGTGAGAACTGGAACGTCCCAGTGCGCTAACCTGAGGTGGTGCCAGCCATTCTGCTCGTCCCTTTGCACTTCTCCATTTCCCCTTAGGCTCTAAGTGTGACCTTCGAACCCTGGTCAGAGTAATGGTGAGGGGCAGGCGTGACGTTATTTCATTACACGGCTTCTCGGCATTCCACAGGTTTCCCTCCGCCTCCTGAGGGCCTTTCCTAACCCACAGAGTGGATTCCTGGCTCCAGAAAATGGGCTTGGAGCGGGGGCCACGTTGAGGAAGGCGAAGGGCATTGTGGGGGCGTTATGTAAAAGTAGGACCCCAACCGACAGATCCTAGTGCTCGCGCCACCTGGGCGCGCGGAGCTTTGCTCGTTTACTATTGAAAAAGTTCCAGCGCGGGAAACTGAACCCGGAGCTTTGCGCACGCCCGAGCCCTCAAGTAATGTGGGTTGTGGTTTTTGTTGTTGTTGTCGCCACGCATGCGTCTTCGTGCCGTGTGGCTATTTGATTGTGTCAACTCTTCTGATTAGAATGGCGCCATTTTGCGGTACGGAAGCTACACAGCAACACGTATAGGAGACTCTCCCCGAGATCTTCTAGGGAGTGACCCATCTATTTTTGTTTGGGAAGAGGAAACTCCGAAATGGGATCGCGGAAGACTTAAAGGGCCAGGCTGATTTTTTTTTCCTACTGGTATGTCTTACGGGGTGGGAAAGTGGTTTCAGAAAGAGGCTGGTGTTTATTGTTGGTGAGGATGGGGGTGGGGGCCGGACGCAGGACCTCTGGACAACAGTCTCATGGAGTTTTATTAATCTTTACTAAGGAGCAAAGTCGGTATTGTAGGGTTCCATGTTTTTACGCAAAGTCTCTCTCCCTTAGGCCCTGCAGAGTCCTAAGTTGTGGGGTTACTTTAGTGGCAGGAAAGTGTTTTTGACTACTTTTTCTCATCCCAGCAGGTCTCTGAGGCTGTGGTTGCTACAGGGTCACCACGAGCTTGGCTTACTTGTCTCATCCTTCCCTTGCCTGGTATCATTTTCTCAGTTCTCCCAAAAGCCATGTCCCGGCCCTTGCTCATCACCTTCACCCCAGCCACTGACCCCAGCGACCTCTGGAAGGATGGGCAGCAGCAGCCACAGCCCGAGAAGCCAGAGTCCACCCTGGATGGGGCTGCAGCCCGAGCTTTCTATGAGGCCCTGATTGGGGATGAGAGCAGCGCTCCTGACTCCCAGAGATCTCAGACTGAACCTGCCAGAGAAAGAAAGAGAAAGAAAAGAAGAATAATGAAGGCACCAGCAGCAGAAGCAGTGGCAGAAGGAGCATCAGGAAGACATGGACAAGGGAGATCCCTTGAGGCTGAGGATAAGATGACTCACCGGATACTGAGGGCAGCCCAGGAGGGGGACCTGCCAGAACTTAGGAGACTGCTGGAACCGCATGAGGCAGGAGGAGCTGGGGGGAATATCAACGCCCGGGATGCCTTCTGGTGGACCCCACTGATGTGTGCTGCTCGAGCGGGCCAGGGGGCAGCTGTGAGCTATCTCCTGGGCCGTGGGGCTGCCTGGGTGGGGGTCTGTGAGCTGAGTGGCAGGGATGCGGCTCAGCTCGCTGAAGAAGCTGGCTTCCCTGAGGTAGCCCGCATGGTCAGGGAGAGCCATGGAGAGACAAGGAGCCCGGAAAACCGGTAAGGGGAAACTTTAGCTCAGACCCATGTCTCATTGTGTTCTGCCTCTCCCAGCCACACCACACCAGACGCCCCAGCACAGTGCTGAAGAGTTCTTTCCTTATCCTCATGTGTAGGTTGACAGGGTAGTATAGTCAAGTGGTTATAAACATGAGCTCCCTGGATTTAAAGCCTGATTCCACTTACTTGGGCAAACAACCTAATGTCTACATGTTCCAGTTTTCTCATCTTAGAAATGGGGGTAGTAAGAATTGTTGTTAGGATTCAATGGGTTAATATATGTAAAATGCTAGAATAGTGCATGCCGCATAGTATGCAATACATGAATGTTAGCTATAGTCATTATGACTAATGTCCCTCCCCTTGCCCAAGAGTTTGCTAGGTCTGGTTACCATTTTTTTCTTTCAACTATTCTGCTCTGGATCCCACAATGGTTTAAAGAAATTTGTTTTTAAGACAAGTCAAGTGCAGTAGTGAGAAGGAGGGGAAAAGTGGAGTAAGGAGTTTGATCTGTAACTGAGTGAACAATTAATTCAGATAACTCACCACCACCTTTGGACCAGCCTGGATCCCTCACTGTTAAGTAGGAAGGAAGGCAATTTGTCCCTTTTTTTTTTTTTTTTTTTTTTGAGACAAAGTCTCACTCATCTCACTCTGTCGCCCAGGCTGGTGTGCAATGGTGTGATTTCAGCTCACTGCAACCTCCGCTTCCTGGGCTCAAGCATATTTTTTGTAGAAAGCAGGCTTTGCCGGGACATGGTGGCATGTGCCTGTAATCCCGGCTACTTGGGAGGCTGAGGCAGGAGAATCGCTAAGGTGGAAGTTGCAGTGAGCCAGGATCATGGCACTGCACTCCAACCTGGGCAGCAGAGCAAGACTCCATCTCAAAAAAAAAAAAAAAAAAAGCAGGCGTTGCCATTTTGCCCAGGCTGGTCTCAAACTCCTGAGCTCAAAGCCATCTGCCCGCCTCTGCCTCCCAAAGTGTTGGGATTACAGGCGTGAGCCACTATGCCTAGCTGGCAATTTGTTCCTTAGCAGAAAAGCTGAAAAGATCCTATTCTACCCTGCCAGCCCCCTCTGAGGCCTCAACTCTTCCCCTTTTCCTTCCCCTGCCCTTAATGCTTTTTCTTCTTTCTCTGCAGGTCTCCTACTCCCTCCCTCCAGTACTGCGAGAACTGTGACACCCACTTCCAAGATTCCAACCACCGCACATCCACTGCTCACCTGCTGTCACTGTCGCAGGGTCCTCAGCCTCCCAACCTTCCACTTGGGGTGCCCATCTCCAGCCCGGGCTTCAAACTGCTGCTGAGGGGGGGCTGGGAGCCAGGAATGGGGCTGGGACCCCGGGGTGAGGGCCGTGCCAATCCCATCCCCACTGTCCTCAAGAGGGACCAGGAAGGACTAGGCTACAGATCAGCACCCCAGCCCCGAGTGACACATTTCCCAGCTTGGGATACCCGAGCTGTGGCTGGGAGGGAGAGACCCCCTCGGGTGGCCACACTGAGCTGGAGGGAGGAGAGAAGGAGGGAGGAGAAAGACAGGGCTTGGGAGCGGGATCTAAGGACTTACATGAACCTCGAGTTCTGACTTTGGTAAAGTCTGACCCTAGTCTGCTGCTGAAGTCTGAACTTGGGCCTCTGACCTGGGCCCTTTGACTTCCCCTTCCTGGGATCTGCTCAGATGCAGATCCTGAAGTTTTTGGTCAATAGGCTCTGTCTTCGTGAGAGACGGGCTGAGAGTCAGAAATAAATCAACCATTTGTGGTTTATTCACTTTTCTGGAAGCTATTTTGAGGAAGCCAAACAGAAGCCTGGGAGCCACATGCAAGTCCCACCTGAGTCAGAAGGGGCAGCCTCTCCAGGTGGCATGATAAGGTCACCTCCCTGCCAATCTGGGTTCACTTTCAGGTCCCAGACCCTCCTGGGAGTCCCCCACCTATTCTTTCAACCCCCCTGGACCAAGAATTGCCCAGCTTCGTGCAAGTCTCACTTCCCCCAGGAGGAGTTCCCTGACTACAGCCAATTCACTGATTTCACAAACATAAGTCCATATACTATGTGCCAAGAATACAGGTAAAGACATTCCCAACCCTCAAAGAGTTCACAGCTGGAGAGGGAAAGTGCCATGTTACCAATTTTTTTCTTTTTTTTTTGAGATGCAGTTTCGCTCTCATTGCCCAGGCTGGAGTGCAATGGCATGATCTCGGCTCACCACAACCTCTGCCCCCCGAGTTCAAGGGATTCTCCTGCCTCAGCCTCCCCAGTAGCTGGGATTACAGGCATGCCCCACCACGCCCAGCTAATTTTGTATTTTTAGTAGAGACGGGGTTTCTCCATGTTGGCCAAGCTGGTCTTGAACTCCCGACCTCAGGTGATCCGCCGGCCTCGGCTTCCCAAAGTGCTGGGGTTGCAGGCATGAGCCACCACTCCCGGCCCATGTTATCAAATATTATAATGCAGGGTGATAAGGGAAGTCAAGGCCTCTAGAGATGAGAATGGGTAGGGTTTTGCTGGAAGAGGCCAGTGTGATAGGAAGGCCCACGATTATCAAGCTTGTACACTTAGTTGAACTGGGACCAGAACTCTAGCCCCCAAATCTAAACTTTAAACTTCTTTGTTCCACCCATTTGTCTACACTTTTCTTTCCCACACTTCCCCACTCTCCCACCACCCACCCCCTTGTCTTGCTCATGCCGGGTGGTAGGCACAAGAAGAGCTCACTGTTGTGAAATCCAGGAATTCAAATTTGCAGACGGGCAGGGGAGGGCTGTTCAAGTCGCAAGACTCCTCATTTTTTCTTTTCTGGGAAAGCCTTTCATGAAGTCTTGGATGCGAAATGGAGGAGTGGTGGGGGATGTGGAAAAGAACCCAGGGGCAGGGGGCTGTAGGGGGCGACCAAGTTTAGGGAAGCATGAGAAACCCGGGAAAATGGGGAGCTGGGTTTATATTAAGGTCCTGGTCCTTGCTAATCTCGGTTTGGCGGTCCGGCGCGCACAGACAGCGCGGGGTATACGGGGGCGGTCTATTCGCAGGGTCCGCCCCATGAGCTGCGGCACCGCCCCCGCGGGTCCTTCCAGTCCTGGTGCAGCTGCTTCCGGGCTTCGCGGCTCCCGGCGGCTCCCCAAGGCCGCGGCCCCGACGCTGGGCCCGGGAGCGGTCCCCGCGCACAGCGCCCGGACGCGTAGGTCCCGAAGTAGGCCCGCGCTTTGCTTCGTAACTGGGGATCTCTGAGGACATCTTAGTTCTGACCTTGTGGAGGCCGCGTCTCTGCTGCGTGTTCGCGGGCCAGTCGGGCCACTTTGTAGAAATCATAGCCCTCTAAATCAAGGGACGAACGCTGCTGGCTGGAGTTTGCTGGACACTTTCATTCCACCTCCTAACAAAGAGAATTCCTATTCCTTGAGGTCCCTTGGGGCAGCAGTTAAAGACTACACGATCCAGGAGCACCTAGGACCTGGGGCCACCTTCCTGCCCGCTTTATTGGATGGAGCACTGCCTCCCCAGTTTCTGGGACACCTTGGGGTGTGGCCTTGGTGAGTGAAACTTGGGGTGCTGCCTGCTGGGAAGGAAATCCGGAAACGCAGAGAGGACTCTCTGGTGGTGACCCAGGCCTTGTCAGATCTGAGATTCTTGGAATCTCAGATTGTGGGGGTGTGGATGGTGAATGAATTTGGGTATGCCCCCCTTTACCCCAGAACTGAAGAGGAAGCAAACTACTTGCCACACTTGAGGCTGCATGACTATTCAGAGAAGGGAGGAGCCACTTCTGAATTCAGAGTAGGACTGCATCACCAGGCAAATACCTGTTCTGAGCCAGAAAGACTCTGGCTTCTGAGGAGATCCTGAGAGTCTGAGTAGTGCCAGGAAGCAGCCTCAGAATTTGGGGGCCCATTACACACCCCAGCCATGTTCCTGCGACGGCTTGGTGGCTGGCTACCTCGCCCTTGGGGCCGCCGGAAACCAATGAGGCCTGACCCGCCTTACCCAGAACCCAGACGGGTGGACAGCTCCTCGGAGAATTCAGGAAGTGACTGGGATAGTGCCCCAGAAACCATGGAAGATGTGGGGCATCCCAAGACTAAGGACTCGGGGGCATTGAGGGTTTCTAGGGCTGCTTCCGAACCAAGCAAGGAGGAGCCCCAAGTTGAGCAGCTAGGGAGCAAAAGAATGGATTCCCTCAAGTGGGACCAGCCTATCTCTAGCACTCAAGAGTCTGGGAGACTGGAGGCTGGAGGGGCCAGTCCCAAACTCAGATGGGATCATGTGGATTCAGGTGGCACCAGGAGACCAGGGGTGTCCCCTGAAGGGGGACTGAGCGTCCCTGGGCCAGGAGCCCCATTGGAGAAACCTGGTAGGCGTGAGAAGCTGTTGGGCTGGCTGCGGGGGGAACCAGGAGCTCCCTCCCGGTACTTGGGGGGCCCAGAAGAGTGTCTGCAGATCTCCACCAACCTGACCCTGCATCTTCTGGAGCTGCTGGCCTCTGCCCTGCTGGCCCTGTGCTCACGACCACTGCGGGCAGCCTTGGACACACTGGGCCTGCGTGGACCGCTGGGCCTCTGGCTACATGGCCTACTGTCCTTCCTGGCTGCCCTGCATGGGCTCCATGCTGTTCTGAGCCTACTTACTGCCCACCCTTTGCACTTCGCCTGCCTCTTTGGTCTCCTGCAGGCCTTGGTGCTGGCTGTCAGCCTCCGGGAGCCCAATGGGGATGAGGCGGCCACTGACTGGGAGAGTGAGGGGTTGGAGAGGGAAGGTGAGGAGCAGAGGGGAGACCCGGGAAAGGGGCTGTGACCGTGGGGTGGGGGCAAAGGGTGAAGAGAGTGTGGGCTTTAGGAGAAAAGTGTGAGGCATGACCCAAATTGTAAGCATAGGGACCTCAGGGATGGGGAAGAAACCCGAGTACGAGGGTGCAGGGCCCCCCTTCATACACAGGAGAGAACAGAACTATTTAGGGTGTTTGTGTTTATGGACAGTGAGGGCACTGCTCTTGGATTCACCAGCTGTTATTTTTGCTTTTACTTTTCTCCCACCTTCAGTTTTTTTTTTTTTTCCACCTCCACTTTTTAAAAGCAAAAAAAAAAAAAAGTATGATGGTGGTGAATAAAGACCAAAGGGTCCTCTCTACCTTTGAAAACTCTCCTGGGGTGGAGGAGACCAGGGCAGGATAGACAGACCTCTGCAGTAAGAGAGTGGTTGGGAAACCCAGGGTGTTCCTTGGATCTCAGGATCTGAGCCATCGAGGGAAGAGTGGGGCTGCTAGGCAAGTGGATTAGGGGGTCTGGATAGGGCCCCACAGGTGACAGGGAGCCTGCAGGGCGGATCTGGTGATCATGGGAGCCAGAGGGAGTGGGGACAGTGCAGGCAGTATTGGCAGGAGGGCCAGTGCAGAAGGGCTGGTAGCTCAGGCAGTGTGGGGGAAGCACTGAAGCCTGTAGTCCCCACTTGGGGGCTAGGGGTTTGCTCACTCAGCAATAAATAACTGTGTCACATCAAATCCTAAATATACCACTACAAAGTGAGAGTTACTGCCACTCTGTTCTTACTGACACCGTCCAGCTGGGAGTTTAGGTGGTAGAGGATCCAGGGGGAATGTTGAAATGGGAGGAGTGGGAATGACGTCTGGAGACAAACCCCAGAATGAGATGAGGATTGAAAAATTATCTTTATTATCTTGAGTGGGAGCTGGAGCTGGAAGTCTCCAGCTTCTCCCTCCAACAACTCAGCTCCCATTGTACCCATCTGGGGACTTAGATGAAGTTACAGGTCAGTTATTGGACAGCTCACAGGCCTCTGTGATGGGGGGAGGGAAAAAGAAGGACAGAAGGGAAGTCCAGGGAGAAAAGCAAAGTTGATAGTAATGGGGTGGGGGAGAACGTGTTCTTTCATTCCCTGTGTCAAAGGGGAGTCTCTAAGGCTCTTTTCCCTCCACGTATGACCCTCTGCCCCCTTTATCCAGTGCAAACTCAGAAACCTCTCTTTTGAGTAGCCCAGAACCCATCCTGCCTCCCTCAGGTGACATCACAGCTCTTAGCCACATCCCTCTGGTGACATCACACGAGCCTCTTTCACCCTGTAACACCAGAAGACTTGGTGAGTCCTAATCCTGTTTTATGAGATTTTAACCCCTTACCTTGATTCCTAGGAGTCAATAAGAAGGCTTTGGAGTCCAGGCAGGAAGTCAGGGACTTGAATTCCTCCACACACTTTTCGGGAGGATGTGGTGAGCGATCTGGAAGGGCAAGGTGGGGTCAGGCCAGTCAAAACCCCTGGAAGCACCTAGCTCTTCCTGGGAGGGTGTCATAGGACCCAGAGTGAGGAGTTCTCCTGCCCTCCCTTGTTTCCCTCCAACCCTTCCTGCCTTGTATCCCTACTCACTGTAGAGGAGAAAGCGCTGGTAACCCTGGCCTGTCTCATTCAGCATGATTCCACCTGGGCATGAGCTGGAAAAGAGCTCAGTCTTCATGTCAGGGCGGCCTGTCAAGGCAGGTGGGAGAAGTATGAGAACAGAGATGCAGAACCAAACTCAAGGGAGGGTGAGGGCTGGGAAGAACCAACCTTCAGTTCTGAGATCTGTGCTCCCTTCAGTCAGGTGGTAGATCCATTTCCGGGGCACACAGAGCCCATCTTTCCTGCAGAGGTGGTGGTGGCAAGGAGGAAAGAATGAGCATCACCCCAACCATAGTGTCCCAGCTTCTTTTTTTTTTTTTTGAGACAGAGTCTCACTCTGTTGCCCAGGCTGGAGTGCAGTGGCGCCATCTCGGCTCACTGCAAGCTCTGCCTCCCGGGTTCACGCCATTCTCCTGCCTCAACCTCGTGAGTAGCTGGGACTACAGGTGCCCACCACCATGCCCAGCTAGTTTTTTATATTTTTAGTAGAGACGGGGTTTCACTGTGTTAGCCAGGATGGTCTCGATCTCCTGACCTCGTGATCTGTCCGCCTCAGCCTCCCAAAGTGCTGGGATTACAGGCGTGAGCCACCACGTCTGGCCTGTCCCGGCTTCTATTTACTCCATTGTATTTGTTATTGAAGCCCAGCTCTCCTTGGGTTTCAAGCTACCAAGCATTGGTTAGGCACATCTTTCTCCAGAGGGCAATTAATACAGCCACTGAATTCCGTGGGCCAAGCATAGTAGATATACCAGCTAAGAGGCCAGCTCTTGGTGGGTGGATTCTCACACTTTGGGCAGAGACTGAACCCAGTGATGCTTCTGCCTCCTTACCACTCACATGCGGATGGTAGCACGAAGGTGGAGCTGCATCGGGGCAGAGCCAGCAGCCATATTGAAGACAATGTTGTCCACAGGGTCAAAAGTTGCCAACTCCTCCTTGGTGGGAGCTGCCCCTGCGATAAAGTACCACTGGCCCAAGTGGACCTCTGGGAACTGGAGAGACAATGAAGGGAGCAAAAGAGGGTGGGTTCCAGCACAGGATGGGTTCAACCTCTTCATCAGTCAAAACAGCAAGATTTAGGGGTAGAGGTGTTGGCTGCCTTCCTCTTTCCAACTGGGGATTGGATCCATGACAAAGAGTCATTAAATGACTTTTCCTCTTTGCCCCTCCCCAGTCAACCTGGGTAACCACCCCACCCCCCAATTCTGCCATGCCTCTGCATTGATGGCCACAGTACTGATATTTTTCTTCTTGCTTTCATTATCACAACACTCACACCCCCTTCCTCTCTTCCTTTCCCAAGATGGTCTCCAGTCATCCTAGGCCATCCACCCAAGTCCCTCAGAGCCTCCACCATAGGCTTCCCCCAATCTCAGTCCATACCTCCTTCCCATCCACGCCCAGAGTTGTCAGTTGACTGTGCTCAGGGCACTGGTAGATGGAGTTAAGGATAATACCATAGAAGTAGAGCAGAGCTGCCCAAATTTGGTGGAACATCTTCAGGCAGGAGGGAGCTGGTGCTCTGTGTGCCTTAACTGCTCTCTCCCCTACTGGCTGCTCAGTCCACTCTGCTTTCAGCTCCCTTGCGTTCGACCCTTGACCCTTTCACCTGCTAATGAGTAACTTCAACCTTGTTTTCCAACCCAAACCTGGATTACTTAGTGTTTGGGACTTCCTCCCCCTCTTCCGGATGCAACCACTCCATAGTACACCCTGGCATGTCCAGGGTTTCTCAGGAGTTATGAGGAGAGCTGAGCTGTCCAGGGAGAAGCCTGTGGTCTTTGAACCTGTATCTGAGCTGGTTATTTGTTGCACTGTGCAGCACTGAAGGGAAGTAGCTTGACTGGGCCTCTCATTCATTCACTTAGCAAACTGTTTTGAATCCCAAGTCCCAGTTGTTTCCCAAGAACTAGCTAATCCCCGGGGACATAAAAAAACGAATAAGACATAGCCCCTGATCTTGAAGAAGTCGTTAGAGGGAAAACTAGCTGTGTAGACAAACCATTGCAATACAACTTGGTAAATGCTTTAGAACAGGTATGATGCAGGTGCTGGGGCACGGTGGATTGCTCTCTTTAGTTTACAATTAGAAAAATATGTATACCCTGGCAGTGTTCACTGACACATTCACTCAACATTTATTACTACAAAGAGGCTATGTAATCTGGCTGTTAGAGAGGATAGATGTTGGTGTCAGGCAGAATGTGTCCAAACCCTAACTACAGGCAGGGCAGGTAGCTCATGCCTGTAATCTCAGCACTTTGAGAGGCCAAGGTGGGCGGATGGCTTGAGCCCAGGAGTTCAAAACCAGCCTGGGCTACATGGCAAAACTCTGTCTCTACAAAAAATACAAAAATTAGCCGATGTGGTGGCACACGCCTGTAGTCCCAGCTACTAGGGAGGCTGAGGAGGGAGGATTGCTTGAGCCTGGGATGTCGAGGCTGCAATGAGCCCTGATTGTGCCACTGCACTCCAGCTTGGGCGACAGAGACTCTGTCTCCAAACAAACAAAACACCACCAACCCCTAACTGCTATGTCTGTTTTTTCATCTGTAAAATTGGCAAATCATCAATCTTATAGGATTAAATGAAATAATGCACATAAAGCCCTTAGCAAAGACTTGCACATGGTAATTCCAAAGTATATATTTGCTATAATTAATAGTAATGTTTGCAAAGCACTTAGTTTCTGGTGGGTAATAAGTTCTCAAATAATAGGCAGTAAGAATTGCCAAATAGGTTGTCCTTGGATAGCACCAAGTGACTGGAGCAGTTAATGCTGTGAGAGATGGATCTTCCTCGATAGATTATTTATTTACTTATTTATTTTTAAGACAGGGTCTCACTCTGTCGCCCAGGCATGACTTTGACTTCCCCGGCTCAGATGATTCCCGAGTAGGAGGTATAGGTGCACGCCATCACGCCTAGCTAATTTTTTGTAGACACGGAGTTTCACCATGTTGCCCCAGGCTGGTATTAAACTCCTGAGCTCAAGCAGTCGGCCCACCTTAGCCTCCTAAAGTGTTGGGATTACAGGCATGAGCCACCACACCTAGCTTGATAAATTTATATCCCATGGACTGCCACAAAAAATTTGCCGAGGGCTGAGGCTTGCGATTTAGTTAAAAAACAAACAAAATTTGGGTGACCAGTATATTAGAGTTTATTAATACTGTTCTATTTTGGTGTAATGTTTGAATTTTTTTTTTTTTTTTTTTGAGATGGGAGTCTCGTTCTGTTGCCCAAGCTGGAGTGCAGTGGCGCGATCTTGGCTCACTGCAATCTCCACCTCCCGGGTTCAAAGCAATTCTCTGCCTCAGCCTCCCAAGTAGCTGGGATTACAGGCGCCCGCCACCACGCCAGGCTAATTTTTGTATTTTTAGTAGAGATGGGGTTTCACCATTTTGGCCAGGCTGGTCTTGAACTCCTGACCTCGTGATCCACCCGCCTCATCCTCCCAAGTGTGAGTCACTGCGCCCGGCCGAAAATTTTTGTAATAAAAAGCTAAAATGTGGTTAGGCACAGTAGCTCACACCTATAATCCCAGCACTTTGGGAGGCCAAGTCTGCAAGACCAGGCTGGGCAACATAGCAAGACCCCATCTCTATAAAAATAAAATTAGCCAGGTGTGGTGGTGTGCATCTGTGGTCCCTACTAGGGAGGCTGAGGTGGGAAGATCGGTTGGGCTCGGGAGGCAGAGGCTACAGTGAGTTGTGATTGCGCCACTGCACTCCAGCCTGGGCGACAAAGCGAGACCCTCTCTCAAAAAAATAAGCTAAAATGTTAACAGCTTTTTATTGGGGCAGTAAAGTACAAGTGCTCGATCTGGAGTCCTGTAGGCCTGGATTTGTCAATTCTGACACTTATGTTCGTCTAAGTGTACTCACTTAAAAAATGTTAAAAGCTCGTTAAAAGGCTTTTTAAAATAATACACAAAACCCGTAGTATATGGGCTGGCACAAGTGCTCATTAAACAGCTGCTTATTAGAACTCTTAACTAAAATATAACCAGGACCTGGGTATAAACTACGAATCCCAGAAAGGTTGGACACCCCAACAGCGATGTGTCTTTCTGGAGGACTCGCAGTTTCGCGGGGCCGAGGCCCTTGGCCCAGGGCAGGTTAAGAGAAGAGGGCACGGAGAGGCGGTAATGCCTCCACCCCCGGCCTTCGGAAGCACGCTGGCCGGCCTTTAAATTCCCCACGGTCAGGGTCTTGTCTTTCTGTCCACTCGGACTCCATTTGCTCCCAATTCTCAAACTCGGAAGCGCCTCTTTTCTTGACAAGTCGTGCAACTTAGTAGCACGTTTACTTTTCCTAAAACGTGTCATGTCCCCTTGGCCACACACCGACGAATGTGACGCCCACAGCCCTTAAAACGCCCACCCGGCAGAACCGAAATCTAGCCCAACCAAGCAACCGAGAACAAAATTGACCAGTGCCGCCCCCAAACGCCTACTGAAAGAGTAACTTCCGGAGGCACAGAAGAAAGGGCGCAGCGAGGGCAATAGGGTGGAGAAGAGTTTTAGCTGGCTAGGACAGTGCCGCCTGAAATTATCAGCCTGCCAAGATTTAAACATAGATGAATGTGGCATAATCCCCCATCTCCAAAGTCCAAGGTCCATACGACCGTCCATAGCCCCTCTCGAGGCAGTGGTAGAGTCCCAGCTGGTGACTGTTTTTCAGGCATTTACGGTAGCCACCTCAATCTTCTAGCGCTCAAGCGCGCGCACAGACGTGAACGCCGCCAGAGGGGGGAGGGGGTGGGGCGATGCTTAAGTGTCCACGCATCCGTAGTGCGACGCACGCAGGCGTAGTACGGTCCCCCGGGCGACAGCGGTGGCGGCTCCTCGGGGTGCTCGGCTCCCTCCCACCTAGGCCGGCCCCGGCCCGACTCGCCCTCAGAAACTCACTGTTTGGGGCTGCGGACTTTCTCGTCGTGCCCCACAAAAGTAAAGCTTGGGGACCTGGGGGGAGCCGGAAGTATCGCTTCGAGATCCCCAAATACTATCGGGGAAACGGAAGTGGCCGTCGGTGGCAGGTTTGGGGGAGACCGGAAGTGACGGTCCGTGGGGAAGTCGGGGGCGGAGCCGCGGGGTGGTGGGTGTGTGTGTGTGTGTGTGTGTGTGTGTGTGTGTGTGTGTGTGTGTTTGGCTGTGGGTTAGTTGTGCCGTTCTGCTGGAACACCGTGGGAAGGCAGTAGACGCGGGCAGTCAGCTAGCAGGTCTGTCGCCCCGTGAGTGCCGTTTCGGGTCTATAGTGAGTTAGGAGGGTTCGATGGGCGTGGCGCGCGTGCGCGAAACCACTTTCTCCGCAGAGTGTGGGGCGACCACCGCTTTCGCGTTGTCCCAGGATTTTCCGACCTCTGGGGCGCTTGTCCTGCCGTGACCGGTGATGACACTAGTCTCTGGTCTCGTGCTTCCTTCCTAATCTGACTGGCTCCCTGCTTATTGTGATTGGCGTCGTGGAGCCCCTCCCACCTCTCGTCCTCCAGCTCCCTAAGCCGTCGATCTCCTGCCCTTTGTGTTTCTCTCCCTGTGCCCCGGAATCAGAAGGGGGATGGGGACAGGTGTGAATGTGTGTGTGTGCAGGAGATACTTTTTAGGTATTGGGGCAGGGATTAATGCTAGGGAGTCTTTCGGGTACACTCTGGTCTGGGCAACAGCGGGCCTTCCTTCCTTCGTTCTTCTTTAGAGACCTGTCGGCCATGGAGCCTAATGATAGTACCAGTACCGCTGTGGAGGAGCCTGACAGCTTGGAGGTGTTGGTGAAGACCTTGGACTCTCAAACTCGTACCTTTATTGTGGGGGCCCAGGTGAGACACCTCACTAGTTCTGGAAGACACCTTTAGCTTTTCCTCGTTTAGGCCCCTTAGCCTGAGAGATGAGCTTGATTTTCTGGTCACCAGATTTTCTTTTTTTTTCTTTTTTTTGAGATGGAGTCACGCCCTGTCTTCCAGGCTGGAGTGCAGTGGCGCGATCTCGACTCACTGAAACTTCCACCTCTTGGGTTCAAGCGATTTTCCTATCTCAGCCTCCTGAGTAGCTGGGATTATAGGCGTGTGCCACTATACCCAGCTGATTTTTGTATTTTTAGTAGAGACGGGGTTTCACCATGTTGGTCAGGCTGGTCTCGAACTCCTTACCTCAGGTGATGTGCCCTCCTCGGCCTCCCAAAGTGCTGGTATTACAGGCATGAGCCACCGCACCTGGCCTCAGATTTTCTTTTTATTGATCCCTTTGTTCGTATTCCAGTAGAACGTTTTCTGATGTTTTGTGAGTGAGGCTGATTTTGTTCTGTCCTCCACATGGATAGAACTTAATGCAGAGGGAAATACAGAGGAAGGAAGAATCTGTGTGTCATCATCATGGGTGGACCCCAACCCAAAGGGACAGGCATGGCTCTGGCCTTTGGGAAGGGAAACAGCACAGGAACCCTAAGCAAGTGTGTCTTACTGATAGACATTGGTCAGGTCTATGCTGTGTTTTTAAAGGGTAGAAATCAGAACCCATAATGGAGATAGGTCCTTGATAGACTGTTGAGTGAAATTACTAATTTTTATGGCATAGCTTGAGTCTCTTGAGCTTAAAGCCTTGGACATAGCTATCTGTGTCTTTACTCCTGTAATACTTGGAGACAAATTGCATGTGGGGTGGTCCATGGTTTTCTAAAATGTGATATTACCTGGATATAAGAAAGCCATATATAGACTTGTGATTAGATGTATATAAATACTCTGGTACTTCCCAAGAGTCAGTTTGTAGTTAGGAAAAATATTTCTCTTTTTGCTTTTTTTTTTTTTTTTGAGATGGAGTTTTGCTCTTGTTGCCCAGGATGGAGGGCTGGGGCGCAATCTCAGCTCACTGCAACCTCTGCCTCCTGGGTTCAAGCAATTTTCCTGCCTCAGCCTCCTGAGTATCTGGGATTACAGACGACGCCTACTACCACGCCCGGCTAATTTTTGTATTTTTAGTAGAGACAGGGTTTTACCGTGTTGGCCAGGCTGGTCTTGAACTCCTGACCTCAGGTGATCCACCTGCCTCGGCCTCCCAAAGTGCTGGGATTACAGGTGTGAGCCACTGTGCTGGGACCTTTTTTGCTTTCTTATCTTCTTAGTCTTTCTTCATTAACCTGATACCAGACCCCATCTTCTTTGCCATTTTTTAATCTTGGAAATCACAGGAGAGTCTGGTAAATAAACTGGTATCATCTTGTGTTTGGAAAGGGGTCACTGATGTCTCTAGACACATACTCCCTTGGATGCCAGACAGATAATATAATGTCCATGTGTTTTTTTTTTGTTTTTCATCCGTGTTATTTTTCCTGGATCTATAACCTGAGCTTCATTAAGTTTATTTATTTAATTTTTTGAGATGGAGTCCCTCTCTGTCACCCAGGCTAGAGTGTAGTGATGCGATCTCGGCTCACTGCAACCTCCGCCTCCCGAATTCAAGTGATTCTCTTGCTTCAGCCTCCCTAGTAGCTGGGATTACAGGCGACCACCATGCCTGGCTTATTTTTTTGTATTTTTGGTAAAAAAGGGGTTTTACCATGTTGGCCAGGCTGGTCTCGAACTCCTGACCTAATGTGATCTGCCTGCCTTGGCCTCCCAAAGTGCTGGGATTACAGGTGTGAGCCACCGCGCCAAGCCAAATTTATTGTCTGTATTTTGACAGCTGTTACTTTAGTTTAAGGGTTTGCACAGTAATGATCTCACGGTCAAGACAAACGGGTAGTGATTCTGTGGTGGTTTTTACCCCTCACCTCCACAACTCGGTTGTCTGTCTTTGTTCTTCCTCTTTCCTCCATTCTTTCCATTCCTGTGCATGCCTCTTCTTTTCAGATGAATGTAAAAGAGTTTAAGGAGCACATTGCTGCCTCTGTCAGCATCCCATCTGAAAAACAACGGCTCATTTACCAGGGACGAGTTCTGCAAGATGATAAGAAGCTTCAGGAATACAGTAAGGGGGCTGGGGAGGCAGTTCAGAGGTTGGGGCTACTGTCTGGAGGGATGAACTGAGGCCATGGGTTTACCTGTTCATACTATGTTTTGGTGTGTGTCTATTTTTCTGCAGATGTTGGGGGAAAGGTTATCCACCTGGTGGAACGGGCTCCTCCTCAGACTCACCTCCCTTCTGGGGCATCTTCTGGGACGGGGTCTGCCTCAGCCACTCATGGTGGGGGATCCCCCCCTGGTACTCGGGGGCCTGGGGCCTCTGTTCATGACCGGAATGCCAACAGCTATGTCATGGTTGGAACCTTCAATCTTCCTGTAAGCTTATGTTCCACAGGGGAGGGCTTTTGTGGGTAGCTTTGGTTGTGGTAGCACCAGGGAATTAATAAGATAGATGCTTCCATCTTTAGATTGGGTTCAGGGGGCCCTGTGGTGTGCTATTGGTCTCAGTCTTTAAGGAGAAAAGGAGGTAGGGCTCCAGGGAATGAATTGGAGGTGTGGAGGCCTTAGTGTTGGCTTCTCCCAGAACAACTTCCCTTACCCTTTCCCCAGAGTGACGGCTCTGCTGTGGATGTTCACATCAACATGGAACAGGCCCCGATTCAGGTATTGAGGGGCCTCCGAGGGTCAGGGAAGGGGATCTGGGAGAAGGAGGCTGGGAGGTGGGGTGGACCTGGCTGAGAGATGGCTGGGACCTGATTTAGTAGGTGGTAGAACTCATGGCTTCATCTGTAACCTACCCTGATAAACCTTCTCTCATTGTAGAGTGAGCCCCGGGTACGGCTGGTGATGGCTCAGCACATGATCAGGGATATACAGACCTTACTATCCCGGATGGAGGTAAGTGGGCAAGGCTGGCTAGGGTCTCTCTCCACCCTCCCTCTCCCTTTTCTCTCAGCCTGGGAGTTAGGGCTTCACTGGCCACATCCACAGGGTTTGGCCTTCATAATCTAGTCTTCTCTGCAGTATTCATTCTTTTGGGCAGAAAAAGTATCTTTGTGAGGCTCTCTCATTTCTGCCAATCCTCTTGGTGCCTGGTATCTGGGGAGTTTGTTTCAGACTTAGTCTCATGGCATCTCTTTTCAATTAAAGGATTCTACTCTCTTAACTTGTGGAGGCTGGGAAACCAACTTGTGGAGGAAAGGAAACCACAATCTCTACTCTTTGTTAGAAATTTATTTACAAATATTACAGATGCTGTGGCCGGGTGTGGTGGCTCCTGCCTGTAATCCCAGCACTTTGGGTCGCCATGGCAGGGGGATAACGTGTGGTCAGGAGTTCCAATCCAGCCTGGCCAACATGGTGAAACCCTGTCTCTACTACAAGTACAAAAATTAGTTGGGTGTGGTGGCACGCGCCTGTAGGCCTGGCTACTTAGAAGGCTGAGGCAAGAGAATTTCTTGAACCTGGGAGGCGGAGGTTACAGTGAGCTGAGATCATGCCACTGCACTCCAGCCTGGGCAACAGAGCGAGACTCTGTCTCAAAAAAAAAAAAAAAAATTACAGATGCTTATTATGCATCTAATTTGTGTCAGTCTTATGCTAGTTGCTAGCGAGTCGGAGATAAAATTGCAGAGCCATGCCTTCAGGGAGTCTAGTTAGGATACTTTCTCTGTTCAGTCTCCTGTAGAGTAATCCTCTGCAGCAGTCTTACCCTGCCTTTGGTATCCTGACTCTCCCCTACCTTCAGTGTCGAGGAGGGCCCCAACCGCAGCACAGTCAGCCGCCCCCGCAGCCACCGGCTGTGACCCCGGAGCCAGTAGCCTTGAGCTCTCAAACATCAGAACCAGTTGAAAGTGAAGCACCTCCCCGGGAGCCCATGGAGGCAGAAGAAGTGGAGGAGCGTGCCCCAGCCCAGAACCCGGAGCTCACTCCTGGCCCAGCCCCAGCGGGCCCAACACCTGCCCCGGAAACAAATGCACCCAAGTGAGAGATGGAGGGAATCTTTAGTGGGTGGGGAATCCTAAGTGAAGTATGGGGAGAAGGAAATGAACCATGGCAAGGGAGGGAAAGGATTACTTGGAGGTCTTAGTTGAAGGGTTAGCATTGAGGGGCGAGGAGGGGCTCTCTCGGTATAGGTAAATGACGCTAGGACAGGCAGCTGAGAAGAACTGCTGCTCTCCCTACGGCAAGGAAATCCAAATGGTATCTCCTGAGCCTGATCGGAATTCTCCTCTGAGTTCACGAAGGCCTGCTCTCTTTCTTAGAATTAGTCTTTCACCATTGTAGGTGCAGGATTGTGGTGGGGAGGGTGGGAGCAGTTCATTTTCTTCTCCCTATCCTCTCATGGGTGGGAGTAAAGAATAGAAGCTTTGGCTGGGTGCAGTGGCTCATGCCTGTAATCTCAGCACTTTGGGAGGCAGAGGCGGGCAGATCACCTGAGGTCAGGAGTTCGAGACCAGCCTGGCCAACATGGTGAAACCCTGTCTCTACTAAAAAATACAGGCCGGGCACAGTGGCTCACGCCTGTAATCCCAGCACTTTGGGAGGCCGAGGCGGGTGGATCATGAGGTCAAGAGATCGAGACTATCCTGGCTAACATGATGAAACCCCGTCTCTACTAAAAATACAAAAAATTAGCTGGGCATGGTGGCGGGCACCTGTAGTCCCAGCTACTCGGGAGGCTGAGTCAGGAGAATGGTGTGAACCCAGGAGACGGAGCTTGCAGTGAGCTGAGGTCGCACCACTGCACTCCAGCCTGGGTGATAGAGCGAGACTCTGTCTCAAAAAAAAAAAAAAAAAAAAAAAAAACAAAAATTAGCCGGGTGTGGTGGCAGGCAACTTAATCCCAGCTACTTGGGAGGCAGAGGCAGGAGAATCGTTTGAACCTGGGAGGCGGAGGTTGAAGAGAATAGAAGCTCTGCTGGTCCAGAGAAGGATTGGGCCAGGGCTCTGGGAGACCAGGGAGAAAGAGGGCACATGTGGTCCCTGTTGACTGTGAGGGTGGGAATCTGAGGAAGGCTTTGGCTCATTGCCCCTTGGGTTTGTCCACAGCCATCCTTCCCCTGCGGAGTATGTCGAGGTGCTCCAGGAGCTACAGCGGCTGGAGAGTCGCCTCCAGCCCTTCTTGCAGCGCTACTACGAGGTTCTGGGTGCTGCTGCCACCACGGACTACAATAACAATGTGAGCCCTTTGATGGCCCTGCCCTTTCTCCTCAGCCCCAGTACTCCCAAAACAGAACAGGCTGAAATACAGATAACTCTTTCCCTCCCTGGAAAAACATTGCAACAGGGCCAGGTGCAGTGGCTCACGCCTGTAATCCCAGCACTTTGGGAGGCCAAGGTGGGCGGATCATCTGAGATCGGGAGTTTGAGACCAGCCTGGCCAACATGGTGCAACCCCATCTCTACTGAAAATATAAACATTAGCTGGATGTAGTGGTGCACACCTGTAATCCCAGCTACTCAGGAGGCTGAGGCAGGAGAATCGCTAGAACTCGGGAGGAGGGGGTTGCAGTGAGCCGAGATTGCACTACTGCACTCTAGCCTGGGTGACAGAGCGAGACTGTCTCAAAAAACAAAACAAAACAAAAAAACACACATTGCAACAAAACAATTTCTCTCTAAACCTGTAAGTGATTTTGTCCTCCCTTACAGAGAAGGTGATAATCTTTGCTGTAAGCACTGTCCTCGTATCGTACCCCTTGTGCCCCTGAATGAATTTAGAAAATGTAAAGTACAGGAGATCAGTATATGATGACTTACTGATTCATAGTAGTGTTTTAATAGGATGTTCCTTATGTGAATAAGATATAATTTATTTGCAAAGATTTGGTCTACATGTAAACTTCCAAGGATATAACTGAAAGTTTTGGAGGACATGGTATTCTCAGTAGGCATTATTGCTTTTATTAGTGAGATGGACTCCAGCTTGATATTTTCTGCCTTTTTGTGTTTGGCTGGTTGTGCGCAGCACGAGGGCCGGGAGGAGGATCAGCGGTTGATCAACTTGGTAGGGGAGAGCCTGCGACTGCTGGGCAACACCTTTGTTGCACTGTCTGACCTGCGCTGCAATCTGGCCTGCACGCCCCCACGACACCTGCATGTGGTCCGGCCTATGTCTCACTACACCACCCCCATGGTGCTCCAGCAGGCAGCCATTCCCATACAGGTGGGTTAGGGGGAGTCTGGCCTGAGGGAGAGTGAGGGGTGTTGATAGAGTGACCCAGGGTAGCTACTGGGCCTGAAGGAGGTTAGGAAAGGAGGAGACTGGAAACATGGTGATGAAGGCTGGAGATACTTTAGAGGTTTATCATGAGGTTTTCTTGGTTAGGCTCTTGTATTTTTCTCACATCTGCCTGTCCATCTGTCTTTTTCAGATCAATGTGGGAACCACTGTGACCATGACAGGAAATGGGACTCGGCCCCCCCCAACTCCCAATGCAGAGGCACCTCCCCCTGGTCCTGGGCAGGCCTCATCCGTGGCTCCGTCTTCTACCAATGTCGAGTCCTCAGCTGAGGGGGCTCCCCCGCCAGGTCCAGCTCCCCCGCCAGCCACCAGCCACCCGAGGGTCATCCGGATTTCCCACCAGAGTGTGGAACCCGTGGTCATGATGCACATGAACATTCAAGGTGAGAATAGTTGCTGGCGAGAAGAGCAGGATCAGCATGATGAGGGAGGTTCATGCTGAGGTGTGAGGGAACAGGGTGGGGAAGGGAGAGGCACATGCTGGTGGTGGTAGCCTGGGGACCAGAGCAGAAGCTTAAGTAGACAGATGTGGGGGGTGTGGGGGTTGGTTTGTCTTTGGAGGTGTGTTTGTGTGGTGAAGGGAGTACCTCTCCCTGTTTAGATGGAGGGAAAGGCAGGCTTTCTGATTGGGGGATTATGGGCCTGAAGTATGCCTGATCTCAGAAGGATATAGTTAGGCCTTGGCCCTACCTACCTCAGGGCCACTGTCTCTGTCTCCCTGCCCAGATTCTGGCACACAGCCTGGTGGTGTTCCGAGTGCTCCCACTGGCCCCCTGGGACCCCCTGGTCATGGCCAAACCCTGGGTAAGAGTGAGGGCATCAGGGCAGGCTGAGCTCTGGGTAGAGAAAGGGAAGGGCTGAGTGGGTGGGTTGAAGGGGTCCAGGTTCAAGGTTACATCAGACCCGCCCCCCAGGCTCCACCCTCATCCAGCTGCCCTCCCTGCCCCCTGAGTTCATGCACGCCGTCGCCCACCAGATCACTCATCAGGCCATGGTGGCAGCTGTTGCCTCCGCGGCCGCAGGTAATGACCTGGAAGGGGAGGCTTGGGAGGTAGGGCACAGTCCATGGTGGCAGCTGGCTGGCAAGGGCCTGGCCCTCAGCCCTCTTCGGTCTGTCTCTTCTGCCACCCACAGGACAGCAGGTGCCAGGCTTCCCAACAGCTCCAACCCGGGTGGTGATTGCCCGGCCCACTCCTCCACAGGCTCGGCCTTCCCATCCTGGAGGGCCCCCAGTCTCTGGGACACTGGTGAGCAAGGGTCGGGGAGTTCTAGTGCGTAACAGTCTAGGGAGAGACTCCTGTGGTGGTGCATGGAAGGGCAGGTCTGAAGTTCTCCCTTGCTCTCTATCCAGCAGGGCGCCGGTCTGGGTACCAATGCCTCGTTGGCCCAGATGGTGAGCGGCCTTGTGGGGCAGCTTCTTATGCAGCCAGTCCTTGTGGGTGAGTTTTCATTCTTCCCCACTCAGAGTTTAAACTCCTTTCCTAGTCTGCTCACTGGCACTTTCCAGTTCTTTCCATATTTTCTTGGTTCCTGCTTTCCTGGAATGGGGCTGCTGTAGTGTCTTGTGTCTTCAGGTTTCAGCTTTTTTTTTTTTTTTGAGATGGAGTCTCACTCTGTTGCTAGGCTGGAGTGCAGTGTACAATCTTGGCTCACTGCAACCTCTGCCTCCCGGGTTCAAGTGATTCTCCTGCCTCAGCCTCCTGAGTAGCTGGGACTACAGGTGCACGCCACCACGCCCAGCTAATTTTTTATGTTTTTAGTAGAGAAGGGGGTTTCACCATGTTGGCCAGGATGGTCTCGAACTCTTGACCTTGTGATCCACCCACCTTGGCCTCCCAAAGTGCTGGGATTACAGGCTTGAGCCATCGTGCCCGGCCAGCTTTTTTCTTTTTTTTTTAAGTTACAGAGTCTTGCTCTGTCACCCAGACTGGAGTGCAGTGGTGCAATCCAGTGAGTTAAAGCTCACTGTAACCTTGAACTCCTGGGCTCAAACAGTTCTCCCACCTCAGCCTCCTGAGTAGCTAGCAGTACTAGCTCCTGGCTAGTAATTGTCTTTTTTTTTTTCTGGTAGAGATGGGGTCTTGCTATGTGGCCTAGACTCCTGGGCTCAAGCAGTTCTCATGCCTTGGCCTCCCAAAGTTGCTAGGATTACAGCCAAGAGCCACCATGCTCAGCCCAGCTTTCTTTTTTTGGTTTCTTACAGCTCAGGGGACCCCAGGTATGGCTCCACCGCCAGCCCCTGCCACTGCTTCTGCCAGTGCTGGCACCACCAACACAGCTACCACAGCTGGCCCCGCTCCTGGGGGGCCTGCCCAGCCTCCACCCACCCCTCAACCCTCCATGGCTGATCTTCAGTTCTCTCAGCTTCTGGGGAACCTGCTAGGGCCTGCAGGGCCAGGGGCTGGAGGGCCTGGTGTGGCTTCTCCCACCATCACTGTGGCGATGCCTGGTGTCCCTGCCTTTCTCCAAGGCATGACTGACTTCTTGCAGGTGAGTGGCTGGCTTGCCATTCACCTCATCTTCCTGTCCCCCGGCCCAGCCAGGCAGTGGTACCTTCTTGCCATTACATAACCACTGGGTAAGAGCCCCTAGTGACATGTTAGGGGAAGGGGCCCTGGGAATTCATTGACTCTGAACCTTTCATTTTAAAGATGAAGAAAATGAGGTTTAGAAAAAGAAAGTATAGTAATTAGTGTCACTGCTTTCTGACAACCTGTTCAGAGGAAGAGGTAGGTAAGTTGTGCTGCCTGACTCTGTTAAATACCTACCATACTTCTGCTTTAAGCAGTGAAGATCAGAATGTAACTCCCCATCTTCCCAGACCCGTTGGTTTGTGCCCTCTTGATGCCGTATTATTTCCGTGTGTCTTCATTCTCACCTCACTTTCTGTTCTTTGTTCTTTATTTGCCAGGCAACACAGACAGCCCCTCCACCACCCCCACCTCCTCCACCCCCACCACCTGCCCCAGAGCAGCAGACCATGCCCCCACCAGGCTCCCCTTCTGGTGGCGCAGGGAGTCCTGGAGGCCTGGGTCTTGAGAGCCTGTCACCGGAGTTTTTTACCTCAGTGGTGCAGGGTGTGCTCAGCTCCCTGCTGGGCTCCCTGGGGGCTCGGGCTGGCAGCAGTGAAAGTATTGCTGCCTTCATACAACGCCTCAGTGGATCCAGCAACATCTTTGAGCCTGGAGCTGATGGGGCCCTTGGTGAGCAAAAAGGATGCTTTGGCTTGCTCCAGGAAGGGGCAGCCAGAGGAATGTAGATGGCCTTGGTTTAGGGGTATTGCCAAGGTGGGATGAGGTTGATGATCTGGTTGTGGGTGGGCAGGCCAGGTGGTAAAGGCCATTGCTAACATCTGCCCTTGTCCCCCAGGATTCTTTGGGGCCTTGCTTTCTCTTCTGTGCCAGAACTTCTCTATGGTGGACGTAGTGATGCTTCTCCATGGGCATTTCCAGCCACTACAACGGCTCCAGCCCCAGCTGCGATCCTTCTTCCACCAGCACTACCTGGGTGGTCAGGAGCCCACACCCAGTAACATCCGGGTAAATGAAGGCCAGGGGCCCCAGAACTCTCCTCTTTTGCACATTTTATTCCTTATTTCTGACTGCTTCTCTGCCAGGTAAAGCTCCAATTGCCCCCACACAAGCCCTGGACTTGTTGGGGTCGAGGTGGAAGTCTTGGGAGGACTGAGGCTTTGAACTAAACCTGTTCTGTTTCCTCCACAGATGGCAACCCACACATTGATCACGGGGCTAGAAGAGTATGTGCGGGAGAGTTTTGTGAGTAACCCTTCTCTATTCCTTTCCTCTCCTGGGTCTGGTCAAGGCAGCTGCCTCCTCCACTCCCAGTCTTATGATTCTTGATTTTGGGATCTTTGTGTTATCTTGTCTCTCAGTCCTTGGTGCAGGTTCAGCCAGGTGTGGACATCATCCGGACAAACCTGGAATTTCTCCAAGAGCAGTTTAATAGCATTGCTGCGCATGTGCTGCATTGCACAGGTCAGGGGCTGGCCAGGCGGGGGCAAGTGGGGCCTGTTGCATGTGCAGGGCTGCCACGTGCCAGCATTCCCTCCTTGTATTTTGCCCACAGATAGTGGATTTGGGGCCCGGTTGCTGGAGTTGTGTAACCAAGGCCTGTTTGAATGCCTGGCCCTAAACCTGCACTGCTTGGGGGGACAGCAGATGGAGCTTGCTGCTGTTATCAATGGCCGAATTGTAAGCACCACCTAGCCCCAGATCCTTAGCCTTTTGTTTCCTGAGGTTTCCATTCTCTGCAGTTTTCATTTTTCTTTTCTAAACTGACATTCTGTAACCTGGATCTAATCTATTTCTAAAGGTGGTTGAGGGTTTTGTGTTCTAAATCTGCTTTCTGTCCCTCAGCGTCGTATGTCTCGTGGGGTGAATCCCTCCTTGGTGAGCTGGCTGACCACTATGATGGGACTGAGGCTTCAGGTGGTACTGGAGCACATGCCTGTAGGCCCTGATGCCATTCTCAGATACGTTCGCAGGGTTGGTGATCCCCCCCAGGTAAGGGACCTGTTGGGCGATGGGGTCAGGGTACTTGAGAGAACTGGAGAGATCTGAGAGGAAGTATGGTGTTCTTTAATTTCACAGCCACTTCCTGAGGAGCCAATGGAAGTTCAGGGAGCAGAAAGAGCTTCCCCTGAGCCTCAGGTACTCTAGAGAGGGGGAGGTTGAGGGGCCAGATAATGTGGAGTGGAGGGCTGGGGGAGAAAGGTTTGGAGGCTAAAAATTCTGAAGCCTGGCTCTTCCCGCCATCTGACACCCAGCGGGAGAATGCTTCCCCAGCCCCTGGAACAACAGCAGAAGAGGCCATGTCCCGAGGTCCACCTCCTGCTCCTGAGGGGGGCTCCCGGGATGAACAGGATGGAGCTTCAGCTGAGACAGAACCTTGGGCAGCTGCAGTCCCCCCAGTAAGTGTCAGGAAGTAATCCAGTGGGTCATGGCAGCTGAAAGTCAAGGACATTACTATTTTCTCTTTTCCTCCCCAGGAATGGGTCCCTATTATCCAGCAGGACATTCAGAGCCAGCGGAAGGTGAAACCGCAGCCCCCTCTGAGTGATGCCTACCTCAGTGGTATGCCTGCCAAGAGACGCAAGGTTGGTTTTCCTCTTCCCTAAGCCTCTCTCTCTATCCAGGTTTCCCCGTCATGCCTGGAATCAAACTATGTAGAGATGGTGGGAGCTCTTGTTATTCAGTCTCCCCTCCCCTCGTTTAATGAGGAAACTTTTTCTGGGATTCAGACTTGCTCTTGGTTGTTGCATAACCATACAGGACTTGACCTTAGTCTGTTTGCTAGCAGTCCTGTATTAGTTGCTCAGCTGCCTAATCCCCATGTGCTTAGATCCCATTTTCCTTTAAGGTGGGTTTCCTCTTGTGGATTACCTAGCTCTGAATCCCGGATGGCTTGACCCCTTCTGCCTTTCGTTTTGAAGAGCACGTTCAAGCACATTCACTTTAGTTTTGGCTAGTGCCAAAGAGAATTAGGAAGGCATTTCTGCTGTAAAAACCACATCCTGGACTCTTAATTTCCCCTCTCTCCACTAGCATGGAGACTCAGTGGAGTGGTTGACTCATGGAAAGGGTGAGCCGGATGGTGGCACTGGATCTGACGTTGATCCTCTTTTCCCTCCCAACCCCCTGTCCCCCAGACGATGCAGGGTGAGGGCCCCCAGCTGCTTCTCTCAGAGGCTGTGAGCCGGGCAGCTAAGGCAGCCGGAGCTCGGCCCCTGACGAGCCCCGAGAGCCTGAGCCGGGACCTGGAGGCACCAGAGGTTCAGGAGAGCTACAGGCAGCAGGTGCCACCTTGAAGCAGAATAGGGATGGTCTAGTGGGAGGGGTTGGGCTAGGGTCCCTCTTCCCTGGATCCCTTCAGCGATGAACTGGTCAGCCTGGTGCTACCATTTGTTTTCCCCTTTGGCATCTGGGAAGGCTTGACAGTGCCACCCCGGGCTATTTGACAGTGTGCTTGGGGGGGGAAATGTTAGCTTCTGAGGGATGGCCTTGTGTGCTTGCTGGGATCATAGGGACTTGGCCAGCGTTTCTCCAACCTGCTTACTTTTTCTCTTTAGCTCCGGTCTGATATACAAAAACGACTGCAGGAAGACCCCAACTACAGTCCCCAGCGCTTCCCCAATGCCCAGCGGGCCTTTGCTGATGATCCTTAGCTCTTTGCTCTATGGCCCTTCCTCATCAGGGGACCGTTTCCCCCCTCTTCCTTCACAGTATTTAAGAAATAAAAGTCGGATTTTTCTGGCTGCTTTCTCTCTACATTGTCTCCATTAGGTAGTGTGTCCCTTAATCTTGTGTGAACTTTTTTAAATTAATACTTCCTTGGAACACTGTTGTGTTCTACTCAGCACGCTAAATTGTACAAGCCAGTTTTGATGTTTGTTTTTTTTTTTTTTTGAGACAGAGTATTGCTGTCTCCCAGGCTGGAGTGCAGTGGCCCGATCTCGAGCTCGGCTCACTACAACCTCCACCTCCCGGGTTCAAGTGATTCTCACTCATGCCTCAGCCTCCTGAGTAGCTGGGACTACAGGCGTCCGCCACCACGCCCGGCTAATTTTTGTATTTTTAGTAGAGACAGGGTTTCACCATATTGGCCAGGCTGGTCTCGAACTCCTGACCTTGTGATCCACCCGCCTTGGCCTCCCAAAGTGCTGGAATTACAGGCGTGGGCTACCGCGCCCAGCCTGGTGTTTGTATTTTTTGTGCGAAAGCACTTTATATATAAATAAAAAACCTGTATTTTGAGTTGGGAGCATATTCCAGGTGCACACTAGCATAGAGCTCTCAAATTACCCATCAAAAAAAGTTTCTGAGCAGCTGCAGACCTAAGTATAGTCTTTAGCATAACTAGCATGCAGCGTTACCATGTGAAATCCCACTTAGTTTGACAATGCTGGAATTGGTCTATCCAATTCAAAGAGCCCCTTAAGTGTGCTCCAACATTGAGGCCTTAACAGAGATTTCCCCTTAGTTCATCATAAAGAACTGAAGTCCCATGGCTGCAAATTCTTTGCTAGTCCCTTTGAGATGCAGTTGAAGTCCCTTCTAAACCCCCCCATCCCCTACCTTGGCTAGTTTAGTGCTCTATCAACTAAGCATGGCATAAGCTTAGAAAATTCCAGCTAGACCTCTTGGAACATGAGCTCACGGACATTTAACAGGCCTGCTGGAGAGTCCATGTGAAGACACTGGTTGATAACCCAGTAATGTTACAGATGTCCCACCAAGGCCCTAGATATGCAAAGGAAGCCATATTGGGACCAGCCCAGGTGTCAGCTGCAGACTGATAACCAGTTGACCTCGCTCACTGGCACAAAAAAGCAGATTTATCCAGCTGAGCTCAGCCCAAATTCCAGACTCACAAAAATTTAAAGATCCAATACGATGGTCATGTTTTTAGTTTCAACAGCTCACTGGAATAAGTAATGAATATTTCCCTGACTGAAACTACAGATCACTCAGCACCATGCTTTAAGACAATGCAAACAACTCATCCCCCAAATCATTGTAGAAGTTTTTTTTTTTAAATCCTTTTATTACTCTTTTTTAACAAACAGCCCCAGGGACAGGGGACCAGGGGAAGGGGGAGGAGGGGAAGTGAGGCCCCAGCCCCACAACCCCTCCCCGCCCACCCCTTTCCCCCTTATATATTTATAATCTATATACAAGCCCCGGGGGTAGGGGGCAAGAGGAACTCCCTCAGCGGGGTGGGGGCAACCCAGGCTCCTTGTCCCCTCGGGACCCAGGCTCCTCTGCCCGTCGGGAGGGCCCTTCTCGAGGTGGCGGCCCTGTCCGCTCCCAAGGCTTAGGTATCCAGCGCAGGGCATCTGGTGGGGAGGCCTAGGGGACAGGCATGTGTTAAAGAGTGAGTCACAGTGAGAGGTCAGCGATGAGACGGAAGGACAGGAAATCAGGTGGCAACTCGAATTTAGAGTTGGGGCCACAAGGGTTTCTCCTTCACCTGCTGGTAAAGGTCGACGCGCTGGGTGCGGAAGACTCCACTGTAGGTGGAAGGCGTGGCCTTGAGACGGGAATTGAGGCCAGAGAAGGACCTAAGGGAAGAAGGGCGTCTAAGGCAAGCCTAGGATCCAGACCCTGGTTCCAAAGTAAGGAAGCACTTGGAAAGTCCACATCCCTATTCCGTTTCACCTTCCAGTTGGGGGAGTCCGTGATGATCCAGGTCCCCCAAGGTTGCTGCTCAGTTTTTGATAATCCTGGAACGGCTTTAGTTCCACTGGATGCAGCTGAGGGGAAAAAAATCATGAGCTGCCTACCTTGAAATACAGAATCCCTACTCCCAAGTCTTGGCGCTCCCTAGCCCCTCAGTTCCTGTACCTTACCTCTGCTCGCCCCAAGCTAGCGGGGAAGGGCCTGGCAGGTGAAGGCAGCACCCGAGTAGCAGGAGCAGGTGGGGGCCGCACAGCCAGGCTGGGGGGCTGCAGAGCAGGGCCCACAGGTAACAGAGAAAGGGGAGGTGGGGCAGGAGGTGGTGCTGGCGGCAGGGAGCCAAAGTTCACCACAGGCAGCTGTGAGTCTACCATGGGTAGAAGCATCTGTAACAAGAAATTTGGGTGTGCATGTTGGGGGCAGGGAGGAATGTCAGAAAACCAGGGAAAATCAAAGCCAGCAACTGGACAGAGAAATCAAATGAAGGGGAAGTGTGAAGATACAATATACCTGCTGGGCAGGAGCCCCTGAAGGGAGAAATCCACTTTGGCCACCAGGCTGCAGAGGAGTAGAATAAAAATCCGAAGGGGATGGCAGATCCTGGCGTACCTGTCGGGAAACAGGGAGAAATATATCAACCCCCACAAAATCATTCTCCCTACCCTATCCCCCAATATCTAATACCTGCCCCCCTCTTACCTGAAGCAACGATGTGTCAGGCAAAGGACTGGGGCAGAAAGCCGGAGAGTAGAGGAAGGAAGGTGGAGGGTAGAGAACTCCTCCAGCCGGCAACTTCCCCAGCTCTGTAGCTTGCATTGTGGAGAAATCCAGAAACTGGCCCTTGAGAGCTACCCCAGAGAGCAGTGCTGAGGGAGGGGCTGGGCCCGGGGGTAGGTATAGGGGCTGTGATCTGAAAATAAATTGTGGGGAGAAAAGCTGTTAGGAAGCCAGAGTCCTAGCAATGCCTTAAGTCCACTAGCTTCTAGTACCCTAGAACTGTGTCTTCCCCTTCCCTCTCCCCGAAACACATCTCCAAGTACTTCTGTGATCCACAGGCATCGAGTCTTACCTGTAAGGGTGCAGTGAGGGTGTCCCAGGGCGGAAGCCTCCACTGTTTGGATGTAATTGAGAGTCCATGGCTCCCCCAGAGATCTGCAGGAGAGGAGCACGGTTGAAACAGCTTTAGTATCTGTGGTCAAGAAAAAAGATCACCATCCCACCCATAGAAGCAAAAAGTAGGGAGAAAAATGATGTGACAAAGTGGTATCTCACAACTCTGCAACGTAGAAAGGCTTGATTATAAACACATACCAGGCAGAAAAAAATTATTATTCACTGAAGGGGTCATGCAATGGGAAGCGGGGCCTACCTGAGAACTGGAAGGCCCAGCACTGCCATAGAAAACCTCAGGATACAGGCGCTGGCCTGAGGAGCTGGGCTCCGGGACACAGTGCCCAGAATCCAGGTTCTTGGATTGTGGCTCAGCAGAGGCAGCAGCACTGGGAAGCAGCTCCCAGTCTCGTGATACAGGAATGGCCTGGGAAGGAGAGGCCTCGTGGAGAGGGATGTCTGGCATCCTGGACGCCCTGGTCACTCCCAGCAATCTTCCCCAGAAATCTTGGGCCTTTCCACCAAACTCTTACTCCCACTTACCTCAGTGACTGATGCTGTTAGCTCCTTCTCTGCTTTCAAGCTGTCTCCTACCACTAGGCGTAAGTCTGAGTCCTGTGATCACAAGAAGGCAGGAGACATTGTCCCGTGACAGACATGTGTCCTCTATGTCCCACCTTTAGTCCTTCCCTTCTCTCCACCCAACTCAGGATACCCAGATCCAGCCCACACAGACCTTGTCACTAGTGCCAAACTGGACTGGGGGACCAGGTCGATGGGATGGCCGAATGGGGCCAGGCTCTGTGCCTCGGTCTGTACGCTGTGATCGTTCTGTGCCAATGGGGCCAGGGGGCAGAGGCTGCTCCCGGGGCAGCTCCTGGATTGGGCACACAGTAAAGTGCATTGGGGGAGGGAAAGGGAAATCCAAATTGGAATGCCCAGAACACACACGCAGAGAGAAAAAGCAGAAAAAGGTAGGGCCAAAGTCAGATTCCTGGAAACATTCCCCTTATCCTTTTTTGGTCTTTTACCTTTCTGTCCCCATCGTGGGGGGCAGGTGGTGGTCTCCTAGGAGGTTCAGAGCCAGGTGGACCCTCACAAGGAACAGCATTCAGGGGTGAGGAGCCTCCAGGCCTCTTGGGGGGTCCCTCTGCTGCCCCCTTGAGTCCTCCATCAGGGGAACTTCGCTGGCTGCAGGGACCTGATGACACCTGAGAATCCCCACTCAGGTCCACCCCACTGTCAGACTGACTCATCTGAGAGGAGTGGAGAAGGAGCTAGTTAAGTCAGGGTAGAAAGCACCCCAATACCTGACTGATGCACACATACAAACTGCAGAAAGGGGACAGCCAAGTGAGAGAACAGCTCCAGACTCAACCCAGAGCAGGTGGGGGGTATGACCAGTGCTCAAAAAAGTCCCAGCTCAGACACACCCTCCCACCCTCACTCACTTCTGTGCCAGCCACATCCTCAAAAGGACTCAGGGGCTCCATCCAAGGCTCCATGGAGCTGGGCCGGTAACTCTTTCGGCTAGTGGCTGGAGAAGGGAGCACCAACCAGAAGAGAAGTGAGGAGATGACAGTTCAGAAGCCCCTCTCATTCTTAACCCTTCTACCATAGTCCTTTCACTCAGCTTTACTCACCAGTATGTAAACGGTTCCAGATGTGAGGGGTCAGGGCCTCTGTGCCTGTATCTCTGGACTCTGCCTGAGGGCCTGGGCCCTCAGGCTTAGAGCCCAAGAATCCAGAGCTATGAGGAGGTGGCAAAGATTCCTACAGATGAGAAGGGCCAGAAGCAAAACATGAATTGGGTGGGAATTGGGAATTATAGGAAGCCAGGACAGAGTGGGGTGACACAGGGTGTGGGGACAACAAGGGAGACACATGGGAGACTAATACTGAGAATTCTGGAGTAAAAACACAGTGAAAGAAACAGGAAAGAAAACAGAGAAAACATAACCCAGAAGAATTTTCACGAGTAAGAGTGCAGTGAAGCACAATCTCAAACCCATCCCTTACCTCCTGTAGCAGCTCTGGTTTTCTGGGAGGCCGCTCCCGACGTTTAGGGGGAAAGGGACTAACCCCGGCAGAGTCCCGAGGAGTCCCACCCACCCCTCTCACCATTGGCCCCGGCTCCTCAAAGTGGGGGTCTGGGAAAGAGAAAAAGGGTCAGCATCTGCCTGGCTCTGCCACTGACCCTAACTTTTCCTCTCTACTCCACCTCCCAATTCTTCTACCCTTGCTCCCTGCAGAAACGCACCCAGCAGCAGGGTCCCTAGGCCAGGTTCTCCACCCGCTCCCTCCAGCACTTGACCTTCTCTGGGGATGGAGATATTCCCACCCATAACCCCTCCAGCTTACCAGAACTGAGGCCGCTGTTGACCCTCTGGGGCTCGTATCGGGTTGGGGGCCTAGGAGAGGGGCCCTGAGGGGCTTGGGGAGGCCCAGGCTTGTGCCTTGGATGACCCCCTGGTGCAGTTACACTCCCTTGACGGCTACTAAGCTGGGCCAGAGCCTGTTGGATGCCAGCAGGGTTGCTGTGGATAACTTGGTCCAGGCGGAAGACAGCAGAACTGCTGGGAGGTGGGGGAGGCAGGGGAAGCCCCGGGGGACGCTCCTCTGGAGGACGACTGGAGAAAACAGAGCATTAGCTCCAGTATCCACTAAATCGTTACTTTTTCCCACAAGTTATGTTTCCCAACTTCTGCTTACAACCTATTCTCTTCCCTATTAAAGTCCAGGTGTTTTTGAGTCCTTCTAAGGATTCCTATGCATACAGATGCACAGACTGGAAAGCAAAGAACCAGCAATGAATACATAGGTGGGTGTTCTTGACTCTAACACCCTACCAACCGCTTTCCAGTTGCCTTAGCCAGACATGGAAATCCTACTGACATTCTAGAGCCCATGGCCCCTCAGGCCACAATCTCCACTCCACCCAAACTTATCTTTCCCTCAGGCTTTTTCCCCCTCCTCCAATTTTTAAACCACAATAAATTTGTTTGTTCCTACCCACCTTCGGTTCTTGGGAGAGGGCCAGCTCCTCTTGTCGCCTCGTCCTGGCCCGGTCCTTCCTCCAGGACCCCCACCGCCTCCTCCACTGCTGCTGCCACTGCTGCCAGCCTTGCCCCCTGGGCCAGGGCGCCGATTCTGCCGTTCCATGCCTGGCCGCTGACTTGAGAAGCTCCGTTTACTCAAATCCTTGGCTCTCTGGCTCAGATCTCCGCGGGACATGGCTGAAATACCTGGTACGGCTCCACCTCCACCTCCCCCAGGAGTTCCCACAGCCTTGGGTGTCAGCAGTACTGGTGGGGGTGCCTCTTTGTCCCCTCGGCGCTCACTGGTGAAGTCACTGCTCTCTGATGCAGTCTCCCATTCCTCATTGGCTTGGTCTGAGTTCTGGTTTGACAGATCAGGAGACTTGGCAGCTGCCCGGCGAGGTGCTGGGGCCACTGTGACTGTTGTGAGGGCCTCCTCAGGTCCAGGAGCGGAGGCTGGAAGGGTTAGGGAGGGCTTGCCCTCAGACCCCCTTGCGGCATTCTCCCGTTCCTGCTTCAGCCTCCGGAAACGAGGCGGTTTATCCTGCTGCTGAGCCCTCCCATGTCGCCTCCTTCGGGGTCGCTCCCCATCTTCCATGCCCACATTGCTACCTCCATTGCTGCCTCCGCGCGCCACAGGGGACAGAGGCCCTGGGATCAACTTCTCTTTCAAAGGCTCCTTACTTGGTGGCAAAGGGCCTGTGGGAGGTTTCTTGGGAGCCAGAGACTTGGCTGGAGGGCTCCAGCCTGGGCAAACTTGAGGAGGGGGCCTCCCTCCTCCTCGGCCCCGGCGAGATGGCACCCCTCTGGGAGTGAAGACTCGCCCACCCCGGGCAGTGAAGCGGGCTGGGGCTGGTGAAGGTGGGGCTCCTGGTGGTGGGGGAGCGAGAGGGACCTGGGTGAGTGTTCCCTCCTTGGGTGTGGGAGCCTCCTTGTCTGAAGGAGCCAGATCACTCTCATGGGTCTCGCTGCCTGTTTCTGAGCCCCGCTGCCGGCGCCGCTTGGGGATTTCCTCATACTCTGAACCCTCGCTCCGTGTCTCGCTGGCAGTGCGGCCTCGGGGAGCAGGAGGGTGGTTTGGTCCCCCTGTCCCACCTCCACGCCCATCATCTCCTCGAAACTCTCGGTAACTGCGGAATTCCCGGCTTCGGGCTCCCCGCCCTCGTCCCCCATAGGTCCCCCGAAAACCCCTCCCTCTGGCAAAATACTCGCCTCGGCCCCGACCCCGGCAAGAGGTAGGACCCACTCTTTCATACGAATAGTCCCTCCGAAGCCTTGGGGCAGGGGAAAGATTTCCATTGGGTGGGGTCTCCTTGGGGCCCCCTAGCTTCCCCTTGGTTATCTTGAGTGGGTCTGGCTTTGGGGGTTTGGGGGTTTCATCCCCCTGTTCGAGGGGCTTGGGAGGCAGCTCTTCTACTTTTGTAGGTGGTGGAGGTTTCTTTATAGGCCCAGCCCGGCGGGGTGGGGCCCCTGGCTCCTCTGGAGGGATTCCACGACGACTGCTCCCTGGACGAGGGCCCCAGCGGGTCTCTGTGCGACTCTCTCTGCGTGGTGGTGGGGGGCCCTGGCCTCCACTCCCGACTCCGCGGGCAGGCTTTCGGCCTGCTTCTGGCCCCGTCAGCTGTGCAGTCTCCTCCTTAGGGGGCTCCTTCTTGGGTGGTGGAGTTTGTATCTTGGCCACTTCATCACTGCCTGGGGGCCAGGGGAGTGGACGGGGCCCTGGTTCCTCCAGAGGAAAGCGAGAGATTGGGGGCCCAGGGGCTCCATTCTCAGGAAAGCCTGGATAACTGGCCAGATAGGGTGGTGGGGGAGGTACTGGAGGAGTCTCGCTCCTGAAGAGACAGACAGAAAGAATGGAAATAAGTATCTCAGGAAAACCAGAACTAGGTGGGAAAAGAACACTTTATTATGATGCAGACTCTCTTTTACTATTTTTCTGTTTGTTTTGGCAGAGATGGCATCCAGTTGCCGAGGCTAGTCTCGAACTGCTGGGCTCAAGCAATCTTCTTGCCTCAGCCTCCCAAAATGCTGGGATTACAGGCATGAGCCACTCCATCCAGCCTCTCCTTTCCCGTTCATCCCTATCCCTACCACTAACCCAAAGTACCTTTCTCCCAGGCCTAGATCCTTTCACTGTGAACTCACCCATTTCTCATGACCAAGACTCACCTCATCCCCTTGTCATCCTCATCCGCAGCCTGGCGCAGAGGTGAGGTAAGTGGGCGGGGTTCAGCGGGTGTGGCGGTGAAGACATCTCCTACCCAGGCCAACTTTGGATCCACCGGTGGAGTGCCCCGTTCCCGTAACATAGCAGGTGCATGACGGTCAAATGGCTCTGAGCTTGAGCCCCCACTGTCTGAACGCTCTCGGGGAACTAGGCCTGAAGAAACCAAAGAAAAAGAAAAATAATCCTATTCATGTCACAAGCCCTCCAGCCCAAAAAGCATCTCCCCTCGCGGTCAAGTCAGCTCTTCCATCTCTTGTTCCCAGTAGGTCCGGGCCTTGCCTGCTCTTATATAACAAGGTTATCCACTCAGATTCCCTACAAGAGAATCAACCCACCCCAAATAAATCCTGGCAAATGAAGGACCACTGCTTCTTTCATTCATTCATTCATTTTTGAGATGGAGTTGTGCTATTCATTCATTCATTTTTGAGACGGAGTTTCGCTCGTTGCCTAAGCTGGAGTGCGATGGCACAATCTCGGCTCACTACAACCTCCACCTCCTGGGTTCAAGCGTTTCTCCTGCCTCAGTCTCCCGAGTAGCTGGGACTACAGGCGAGCGCCACCACGCCGGCTACTTTTTTGTATTTTTAGTAGAAATGGGGTTTCACCACGTTAGCCATGGTGGTCTCGAACTCCTGAACTCAGTTGATCTGCCCACCTCGGCCTCCCTAAGTGCTGGGATTACAGGCGTGAGCCACAATGCCTGGCCAACCACTGCTTATTTCTTAACTAAGCCCATTTTTGCAACAGAGCTATCTCAGCAGTGCCAAGCATATGCCCTTCCCTCATCACTATGATGGGCAAAACCTATCGTACCAGAGTCACAGTAAGACCCTAATATCCAATGCCTAAGACTGAGGGGACTTTCCTGTTTCTCACTCCTCCCATGCCCCCTTACCAGAGGGATGCACACCAGGAGGGTAGAAGTCTAGAGGGGGACGACCCTGGAGGAGCCGGGGGTCCACATAAGGAGGAATCATCATCCATCGGGGATCAAAGTTCATTGGGGGCATGGGTGGGGGCCGGCCCAGAGCACCTGGGTACAGGGCCTTGGGGGGCGGGGGTGGAGCCTGTGGAGCTGGCACAGCCCCCAGGGTCACAGGCTGTGGTGGTGATGGGGGCACTGGGGTAGGAGGGGCAGAGCCCTGTTGATGCTGCTGCCACTGGTGCTGCTGCTGCTGCTTCAGGAGCTGCTCCTAGGAAAGGAGGAAAGACAAGATGAGAGAGGCTCAAAGCACACATGGACAAAGGAATCAGCAAAGAAAAAACTTGGACTAGGGGAAATTGGCGTGACAATGGAGACAACTGGACAAAGAAGCAAAGGGACCCAGAAGGTAACTTATGAAGAGAATTAGGGACCGAAGCCAGGAAGAAAAGCAGCCCTTAGAGGGTAAACAACTTGATTTCACCTGCTGCTGCCGCTGGAAACGAGGAGGCAACGACTTCTGATATTTGGGGTAGCCCAAGCCCTGACTAGGGGGCTGGCGGGTGGGACCAATCCCATCACCCTTGGGTTCCACCTTTGGAACTGGGGGTGTGGTAGGAGGAGGAACCTCTTCTGGTGGTTCAGGACCCTCTTTTGAGGGCAGTTGTGGTTCCACTGCATCGGAAAAAACACAACAGAGTGATCTAGTCCAACAATAGACACTCCATGAACACCCCAGGAATCTCACGTCTCATCTCTAGCTCCCTTAAGACTAAAATATTCTATTCAACATCTATTCTATTGAAGCCCCTCCCATTTAAGACCCATTAAAGCACTTCATGGCCTCTCATGAGCCTATGGTGGTGGCATTAACTTTCTATGAAACCATTAGAACAACAGTACTTTCTTCAGTCTTGGCCTATAGGAAATAGTTTTCATTTTTATTTATGTATTTCTTGTGAGACAGGATTTTTTTTTGAGACAGAGTCTTGCTCTGTCACCCAGGCTGGAGTGCAATGGCATGGTCTTGGCTCACAGAAATCTCTGCCTCCCGGGTTAAAGCGATTCTACTACCTCAGCCTCCCAAGCAGCTGGGACTACAAGCACATGCCACCACACTTGGCTAATTTTTGTATTTTTAGTAGAGACGGGTTTCACTATGTTGGCCAGGCTGATCTTGAACTCCTGACCTCATGTTCTGCCCGCCTCGGCCTCCCAGAGTGCTGGGATTACAAGTGTGAGCCACCATGCCTGGCCGACAGGGTCTTGCTTTGTTGCCCAGGCTGGTCTCAAACTCCCTAGGCTCAAGCGATCCTCCACCCCAAGCCTCCCTAAGTGTTGGGATTATAGGCGTGAGCTACAGTACTCTGCCAAGAAATGGTATTAGACTACAACCTAAGATTCCAGACAAAACCTTCCCTCCTTCAGATATACAAATGATAGAACACTATCACTGATAGTCCAATAAACCAAAACAACTGCCTTCTACTTCATTTATCCCCAGCCTTACCACCCTGCACCTTTAAGCACCTTGAAGCAGTGATCTGACATCTGGTAGTACCTATCCCCATCTCCATACCTGGGCTGGCTTCGAAGCTGCCACTGCTGGTGCTACTGGTACTGCCACCACCACTCACCAGAGTGGGAGCCGCAGCCACACCTGGAGTAGGAGTAGATTGGGCAGGAGGGGCCTGTGCTGGCTCTTCAGGTTCTTTCTCTGGTGTTGGGGCTGATGCTGGAGGTGGAGCTGGAGGTGCAGGGAGTTCTTTAGGGACTGCAGGTGGTGGAGCTGGGGTAGAAGGGGCAGCAGGTGGGGCAGCAGGCTCTGCTTTGAGCCGCTTGTCAGGTGCCCCAAACTTTTCATCGAGTCGCTTGAGCTTCTCAGCACAGGCTGCCCGGCGCTCTTCTTGCATGCGCCGCTCCTCTTCTTCTCGCCGTCGCCGGGCCCGCTCCACTGCCAGGGAAATCTCAGATGACGACTGCTTTCGTCGCTGCCGCCATGCCTCATCCTCATCTTCAGGTGCTGGGGGCTTGCAGGGAGGACCCCCACGATCCTGTCAATTGGCAAGACCCAGCAGGGCCAGGGGAATCAGTTACTATGCTTTCTACCATCTCTTTTACAACAAATCAACTGTCGCTACTTGCAGGATGCAACGACCCAGGCTTTGGGGTTGATCTCTCTGGGTGGTGACAAACTCATTATCCTGGTCTTCTTTGAGACCACGTCTTGCTATGTTGCCCAGGCTGGTCTTGAACTTGGGCTCAAGTGATCCTTCTGCTTCAGCCTGCTGAGTAGCTTGGACTACTGATGCATACTAACAGATCCAGCTATCTAGCCACCCTAGTCTTTTTATTTTTCTGTTCCCTCTCTCCTTCCGAAACCCAAACACCCAGGGCTCCTTTTTCTTCTTTCCTCATTAGCATCCCAGTTTCTCACTTCTTACCCAGACTCCCCTATTACCAAAGATATTTAAAAGCTTCCCAGGATGTTCTGCAGCCTGGCACTTCACACAGCCCATTTTTAGCACCCCCCTTCCTCTATATCACAACCGCTTCAATTACTCAGCTGACACCAATTTCCCACAGCTGACCCTCTCAATCCCTTATTGGAGACACTCACTGGGTAGTCCCCAGGGGGGCCCCAGTTCCCGGCGGGGCCCCGGTGAGGTGGGGGTAGGGGAGGCTTTGGGGCAGGAGGTCCCGGCTCTGTCTCTGGAGGCCGAGAGGTTTCTGCCCAGGCCGTCTTAGGAGTGGGCGGTTCGCTGTTGGGGGAGTTGCCCTTTTTGCCATCTGCTTCAGGGGGCCGTTCCTCACCAGAAGCTGATTGGGAATCCCTGCTGTGAGCAGATCAACAGTGAAATTAAAATCAGCTGCAACTAATATACTCCTCTAAGAGTATATTACCAAAATACAAACCAAGACCCCCTCCTCTTCTCCCCTGATGGCCCTAACTCACTGGCCCTCAGCTCCCTCCTCATCAGAGTCTCGCCCATCTTCCTCATCGCTGAACTTGAGCTTTTCAGTGTAGTCAACCTCTTCATGGGCCCCTGAGGGGAAATATGAGTATTAGTAACCCAAGCATTCTGCCCTCCAATCTTGGGAGGTAGTCTGGAACTATGTAACAAGATGGACTACCAATGCCAATATCCTTCCCTCCGAAGTCTAGATCCACCAATGAAGTCTTGTCATTCTTACTCCTCTCACCACTTTGCAAGGACTTGGTATTCCCCATCCATCCTCCCCTACTCTTTTTTTTTTTTCCTTTTAAAAGTCTCGCTCTGTTGCCCAGGATGGAGTTCAGTGGCACGATCATAGCTCACTGTGACCTCCAACTCCTGGGCTCAACTGATCCTCCCACCACAACCTCCAGAGTAGCTGGGACCACAGATGCACAGTCCACACCCAACTAAAAAATTTTTTTTTTTTTGTAGAGGTGGGGGGTCTTGCTGTGTTGCCCAGGCTGGTCTTGAACTCCTGGCTTCAAGCGATCCTCTCACCTAACACTCCCAAAGCACTGGGATTACAGATGTGAGCCATTGGGCCTGGTCTTCCTACACTTCAATGTCTGCCTTTCACCCACATAACCCTGTATTTTTTTTTCCTCATTAGGTTTTGCCTTTCAAGATCCAAATTCTTGACCCTTAATATCCACTTACCTGCCCAACCATCATCATTCTCCTGATCCAACTGATCAAACTCTTTGAGATTATCCTCTTTGAGAATAGAGGGACGACCCACAGGCTCTACTAAGCGCATTGGTGGCCCTGAGCCTCGGGGGCCCGCCACACGGGGAAAACGGCTGTACACAAAAAAGAAAATGAAATATGGCATGTTGTATAACCACATGCGAGACTGATCCTAGACTGAGCCTCCTGGCTAGAAAACCATCTCCTCCCCCAATAAGCTTCCCCTGCCCCCAGCCACAAACCCAGACCTGGATTGCTCACCTGGGCCCATCAGGAGTGGGGTATCGGTAAGGCCCCTGGGGTCCATAGGGCGGAGGGAACGGGAGATATGGGGGATACATCTGTAAAAGGGTCCAACAGTAGCTGCTCAGAGGGACAGTCATATACCCTTCTAGCTCCTTAAGCCTGCTATCAATCATCCTCCCACCCTCCCCTCTATCTCATAGGTCAAAGACTAAGTCCTGATTCCTAGCTCTCCAGCTTCCAGTGTAATCGTTCCAAGACAAGACACCAAGACTCACGAAAGGCGGCATCATTCCGCGGTAGGGAGGGAACTGGGGTGGGCCTGAAGGCTGTAGCCCACCCCGGGGATCATGACCATGATGAAGTTTGGAGTCCGGGCCCTCCAGCTCATCAGGGCCACGCCCACCTCCGTCCCTCCAAGTTGTAGAATCTGTATTTTGGAAAAGGTAGAGAGAGGTATCAATGATTGGAGGACAAGTGAACACAGCTGAAAGTGATGGGGAGGAAGGTGAATAAGCCAGCACCTAGCTCTGAGATGCAATAGGTAATGTCTTGGCCAAAAGGCAGCCACTCACTTTGGGGGCGGAGGCTTGGTCCGGGCCCAGACGACTGTTCGGCAGACTCCCTTTCCTTGGCAGCCTTGTCCTGGTCGCCAGCCGCCTGCAGGGTCGGAAATTCCTCTCGAGAGAATCGTGACAGTAGGCTTGATGCCCTTCCACCTATTAGGATGGGGATGCAGAACAGGAGACAGAAGACATTTCCTGAGGACATGCTATAAAAGTGGAAGACTCTGGCTGGGCGCGGTGGCTCACGCCTGTAATCCCAGCACTCTGGGAGGCTGAGGCGAGCGGATCACGAGGTCAAGAGATCGAGACCATCCTGGCCAACATGTGAAACCCCATCTCTACTAAAAACACACAAAAAATTAGCTGGGTGTGTTGGCGTGTGCCTGTAGTCCCGCTACTCTGGAGGCTGAGGCAGGAAAATCGCTTGAACCCAGGAGGCAGAGGTTGCAGTGAGCCGAGATTGCGCCACTGCACTCC
Source organism: Homo sapiens (assembly GCF_000001405.40). NCBI lineage: Eukaryota > Metazoa > Chordata > Mammalia > Primates > Hominidae > Homo > Homo sapiens. Next base: position 2,966,726 of record NT_167247.2, on the reverse strand, counting down.
AGCCTGGGTGACAGAATGAGACTCCGTCTCAAAAAAAAAAAAAGTGGAAGGCTCTGACAGGTACCAGACCATCAGGTTTCCCGCCTTCAAACTCACCCCCCTACAGAATAACTGCTTATTCCCCAAGGAGGTCAGTTCTGGCACCACTACACTCCATCATATAAGACTGAGACTTAAACTTGCTCATGTGCCTCCATGAAACTGAATATGGGTGGTCCTTGATTTAGCCAAAGAGGACCAAGGTCACTTGGCTGAAAATACAGTGCAGGGTTCATGCATCCCATGGTGCCCAGACACAGCTCCCCAATTAAGTGCTGCACTCACCATCTCCATGTGCTCCATGGGTGACGCTGGCTTGTGCCCAGGACTTTACCCCGCTTGGAACCAAAGGAGTGTTCTGGGGAAGTGTTCAGAAAGATGATAAATGATGTGGGTGGGGCAGCTATGAACCATTCTTCCTCCCCACCCCTCCAGTTCTCCAGGTACCTCGGGGGCTGCTGGGGGTCGTTTCGGCTGGTTGGAGGCAGGCGTCTGTGAAGCCGGCAGTGGCTGCGATTCCGGCGGCTGAGCGGTTGAGGCATCGGAACTGAGGGGACAGAATGGGAAGGTTATTCACACCTGAGATGCCTCCCTGACTTCTCCAACTGGTGGAGACTCAGGACTGAAATCATGCCCATTGCTACCATTTACAAATACAAGGACAAAATAATTTTGTCATCCTTTGTAGGCTGTTGTCTATTTTTTCATGCTCTCTCTCCAAGACAAAAAGCTAAAGTTTAGTACCATTCCTTAGTCATTTAACAAGGAACCTGCAATAGGTAAGAAAGGGACCTCTTCGTCTCTGGCTCAGACGTGGCTGGACTAAACCAAGCCCCAATGCTCCCTGAAGTTCAAGTTAAAATACCCATCACTCTAGGTCCCCCAAGCCTCTGTCTACCTCTTGGGGTCGGACTGCTCCTGTTTGCTTGCCCATCCTGTTCCGTCTTTTGGCACTAGTGAGACATTGGGGTCATTGCCTTTGTTCTCGGCTTTCAGGCTTGGAAGGTTGGCTGGAGGTGGCATACGCCGGGCAATGGCAACTTTCCCGAGACTCTGCAGGCCATGGCGAGGGGCAACTGGAGAACAAGACGGAGAGAGGGTCGAAAATGCCTCATGTGGGAGATCTGATGGCCTCCTATCCTGGGACACATTTATACATGTTGAATATTTTATTACCTACTTCCTCCAAACTTCTCTTAGAAGGGATTCCTTCCCCTGCCCTTAATAATCTCTGAAATCGCGCTGATTGTGGTGGCTCACACTTTGCAATCCCAGCACTTTGGCAGGCCGAGGCAGGCGGATCACCTGAGGTCAGGAGTTCAAGACCAGCTTGACCAAAATGGAGAAACCCTGTCTCTACTAAAAATACAAAATTAGCCGGGTGTGGTGGCGCATGCCTGTAATCCCAGCTACTCAGGAGGCTGAGGCAGGATAATCGCTTAAACCCAGGAGGTGGAGGTTGTGGTAAGTCAAGATCACACCATTGCACTCCAGCCTGGGCAACAGGAGCTAAACTTGGTCTCAAAAAAAAAAAAAAAAAAAATCTATGAAATCCCTATCAAGAAGGCTGAGATATGTAACATTCAATACTTTTATGTGAGATTGGTTGATCATGAGCCTGCAAGAAGCAAGCTGGCCTCAAAGTTTCCCAAATCCACATTTATTTTCCTCCAATTCTTACATGTCCAAAGACAGGGAACCACAGACACGCCTTTGTAGGAGGATAACTGGTGTTCACCCAGAGCCCACACCCCCTTTAAAGGACCCAGTGTAAAGTTGGGAAATCTCCTCTAGTCTTTTGGTATTTCTACTACAGCCACTTCCCTTTAAAGAGCTCTAAAACGTATGCCCCATGCATGCCTAGCTTTCAACCATCAGAAGCATCTTTGCAGGACTCTCACCAGCGGGTTTCTGGATCTCTAAGGACTTGCCCTTATACGTATCAAACAGGTTGAGCGAGGAATACTTCTTTCCATCCTTTCCCTTGGCAGTCGGCCCCGAGCGATCGGACATTGCGCTGGAAGCTCATTGAGTATGTTGGGTCCTGCAGGCACCTCCCCCAAAACGTGCCAGAGCCTGTGGGCCAGACAGCAAGTGTCTCAGTCTCTGTCCCCTGTACAGACCATAACAGAAACTTAAAAACTCCATTGCATTATCATTAGGGACTCAGATATGAGGCCCTCTGGTGTCTTTTCCTCCAGTCTATGTAAACTGCCCACTCTTCTTAAGCAACCATGATCTACTTAGCTCCCTCATAGCTCAAATGCCATGTTCCCTCCTTTCCCCCAGACACCTTTGTCAAGGAAATCTAAGTAAAAATCCAGCATCCTCCTAGTATAAACACTCTGCCCTTTGTGCCTGTCTACAAAGAGTAATTCCCTACAAGTAATAATCTCTTCTCTCTCCACCAAAATCGTTTCAGAGACTTACAACAGGACAAATTCAAGCAAGAGAAAACTAAAAAAGAAGCATACAATTCCATCAGAGAAGAAGAAACAACACTTTAGATTCCCTGTTTATTGGACACAAGCTCCCTAATCATGCCCCCAGGGCCCTGTACCCCAGGCTCCCAGCCCAGCAGCCTCGTGTCCATCTGGGAAGGTTTGCAGGAAGGTATGCTGGGAGTTTAAGGATTTTATGAGCTTGCTCAGCCGGAATGGGGGTTGGTACCAGAGAAATCCTCATAGAACAACTAGGGCTGTACATACTCCCAGGCTATAGGAACCTCAAGTATTTGAAATATCCCATCTTTTCCTAAACTTGCTCCTGTATTGGCTCCTGGAAAAAATCGCCTCCAGATGAAATACTGTTTTACCATATGAAGAACTGAGAAAAAGCATTATGGAGCCACCTTAGCACCCTGTAACCATGGGCCAGAAAACAGAGGGCCAAGGCCAGAGCCACCTTCGTTTTCCTATCCTCATTAAAAATGTCCATCACCAGTGTTTCTTTACTCGATACCTCCAGCTCCCTAAGCAAGCCGGACGACAGGTCTCTCAGTCCATTCCAGAGTGACCAGGCATTCGTTTATGGACGGGAACAGTGTAAAGAGATGAGAAATAGTGGGGAAGAAAGCAGGGAAATCCAGACAGGCCCAGAATGAAAGCTAAAATTGGGGAGAAAGAACTTTATGACAAGCTAGAGATAAGATGGATGTTGCTTCGTAGGTGTTTGAGGAGGCCAATCTGTGAAGATAAATATATGAAGGGAAAACGAATACAAGAGTCATGTAGCGAATAGACCAAAACTAACAGAAAATAATGAATACGAAAGCAGGTGGAAAATATATGGAAACAGGAATGGCAAAAAAAAAAAGGATGTAGACAACGAAGTAAGGGGGCAGAGGCCCAAGAAGAAAAACGGGGTTGGGGGAGAAAGGAGACGAGGAACAGGAAAAATGAAAAAGCAGACATAGGGCGACTGAGCAACATAGAAAGCAAAGATGCTGGGATAAAAGCAGGATTCTAGAGTGGGAGTGGCTCGACACGAAGAGGGGCGTCCAGAGGGGGGAACACAGCGCTGGATGATAGGAGGGGGTCCAATATGGAGGAAAAGCGCCCTTCCGAGAGAACCGTCGGGCGCGGCCCACCACGGGGCGGCAGCCGGGGAGGGGGCCCACAAATGGGGGTGAAAAGCCAGGAGCGCAGCGGAGGGTAGGGAGTTACGGACCCAGGCGCAGGGGTCACCCCCTGAAGCCAAGACGGTGGGTGGTTAGGGGCAGACTACGGATCCTGAATGAACTGCCGGAGGTGCGGGTCCCGGAGTAGAGGTACCGGAGGGGGAGGGGCAAGCAGGCCCGGCAGCAGGAGGACAAAATGGCGGCGGCTAATGGCAGCTTCTCCTCCCCCCGGCCCACCACCGCCGCCGCCGCCGCCACCGCCACCGCCACCGCCACCACCTCTCCCGCGCCGGAAAAGGGCGTCAGCGCACGGTTCACCCAGACTCACCTGGCCGGGTGCGCGGGGATCCGGGACCCGGGCCTAGGGGCTCCCCGGGACGGGATGGCGGTGGGGCGGGGGAGGATGGCGGCGGATGGCGCCGGGTTCGGCTCCTCCCGTCTCCCTCGCTCACTCCGCGGCTGAGCCCCGACTAACGGCCCATCCGGGCAACCGCCGCCCCCGGGAGCACCCCCTCCCACCTCCCACCTCCCTCCGCGCCTAGACACGCCCCTTAATTTGCATAAAGGGCGGGGCACTTTATACCCTAACCCTCTACTTCCAGGGCTGTCTTTAGTTTAAAAAAAAAAAAAAAAGGGCCGGGCGCGCGGAGCATGCGGAGGTTATTTGCATAAAGAGGAGGGACTTAAGGGCACTAGGACCCCGATTGGCTAAGGAGGCGGGCCCCCAGCGTCGGCCGTTGAGCCGTGTTGAGGGGGCGGGAATGCGGTGCAGGTCGGCTGGGCGGTTGGGACGCAGAATTTACACGACGAATGTGGGAGAAAGAGGCGGAGCGTGCGTCGGACGTTAGTAGAAAGATGGGAGCGGAGAGACGTTGGGACGCCAAAAGTGGAAGGCAACGACACACGGCCCGTGGCGCCTTCAGCTAGGGAGAAAGAGAGGACGGGGGCTGGCGGGCGGGATTAGCTGCCGGAGGGCTGAGTTTCCGCAGGCCTGGTAAGAGTTCCAGCTCTCGCATCCCTTTGCCGTGAGTTTGAGGAGGTGGTTGGAGCGGGGAAATGCACCAGAGGGGCGGGGCCTTCCAGTTATTAAATTACGTCATGCAAATGAGGTGGCTAGACAGACCAATCCAAAGGCCCCGGGAAGCGTTTCGTCCGCACCACGCAGCGTAGGCATTCTTCGGGCAGTTCTACCTATTTGCATAATGTATGCAAATCATTTGAACAAAGATAGGCTAGGAATGACTCGTTCATCAAAATATGGGCAACCATCGACTAAGACGGACATTTAATTTTATAACCTATAATTTTCATGAATAAATTTTTATATTTGAAATTATTGGGAATTTGTAATTTCTTAACAATGGGTTTCATTTTGTGAAATGCAGTACTGTTACCCTCGTTTGTCTCTTACTACCCGATTCTAGAACTCTCTGCTCCCATCAGAGTTATACCCATTCAACAGATCATTCAATGACTATGATTTGAAGGCGCTGGAGATAATGCACAGGATATTATAGAAGTAGAGAAATAAGGCCTGGCGCGGTGGCTCACGCCTGTAATCCCAGCACTTTGGGAGGCCTAGGCAGGTGGATCACGAGATCAGGAGTTCAAGACCAGCCTGGCCAACATGATGAAACCCCATTTCTACTAAAAATACAAAAATTTGCCCTACGTGGTGGCGGGCGCCTGTAATCCCAACTACTCGGGAAGCTGAGGCAGAGAATTCCTTGAACCAGGGAGGCGGAGGTTGCACTCCAGCCTGGGTGACAGAGCAAGACTACGTCTCAAAAAAAAAAAAAAAAAAAAAAAAAAAAGAAGGATGGGCGCGGTGGCTCACGCCTGTAATCCCAGCACTTTGGGAGGCTCAGGCGGGCGGATCACCTGAGGTCACGAGTTCGAGACCAGCCTGACCAACATGGAGAAACCCCGTCTCTACTAAAAATACAATTACCCAGGCGTGGTGGCGCATGCCTATGATCCCAGCTACTCGGGAGGCTGAGTCGGGAGAATCGCTTGAACCTGGGAGGCGGAGGTTGTGGTGAGCCAAGATCGTGCCATTGCACTCCAGCCTGGGCAACAAGAGCGAAACTCTATCTCAAAAAAAAAAAAAAAAAGAAAGAAGTAGAGAAATAAAATATGATTATGCCTGGGGTGATTGAGAAATGTTTCTAGAAAAACTCTTATTAAGAGATATGAGGCCGGGCGTGGTGGCTTATGCTTGTAGTCCTGGCACTTTGGGAGGCTGAGGCGGGCAGATCACAAGGTCAAGAAATGGAGACCATCCTGGCCAACATGGCAAAACCCCGTCTCTACTAAAAATACAAAAATTAGCTGGACTGGTGGCGCGTGCCTGTAGTCTCAGCTACTTGGGAGGCTGAGGCAGGAGAATCGCTTGAACCTGGGAGACGGAGGTTGCAGTGAGCTGAGATCACGCCACTGCACTCCAGCCTAGCGACAGAGTGAGACTACGTCTCAAAAAAAAAAAAAAAAGAAAAAGAAAAAAAAAAGGGCCGGGAGCGGGAGCAGTGGCTCACGCCTGTAATCCCAGCACTTTGAGAGGCCAAGGTGGGTGGGTCACCTGAGGTCAGGAGTTGGAGACCAGCCTGGCCAACATGAGACTCCATCTCAGGAAAAAAAAAAAAAAATGATATGAAGAATGATCGGAGTAGATATCTGTCAAAAATATATAAATAAATAGATATGAAGAACGAGTTAGAACTTACCCAAGTTTCAGAAGAAGGTGTACATCTCAGGTGCAGAGAACAGATTAGTGGAGGCATGAGTTTGGGGGCCTGTGCCTAGGCTGATATGGCTAAATAAAGGAGGCGGCTTATTCATTATGAAAAGTGAAGGCAGAAAAGTTTGCAGAAATCAGATGAGAATTTTAGTCAGAGGCTCAGTAAGATTTAAGATGACTTCTGTTTTCAAACTTCCAAAATGATTCTCTTCTCCCTTCTCCCCGGCCGGCTACCACACATACCGTTTTGTTACCCTTTGCAGCAAAATTCTTAAAAGGGATGTCCATAGTCATTGTCTCCAATGAGTTTCTCCTTCCAGTCTTTTTTTTTTTTTTTTTTTTTTTGAGACAGAGTCTCACTCTTGTCACCCAGGCTGGAGTGCCATGGCGTGATCTCGGCGCACCGCAACCTCCACCTCCCGGGTTCAAGCGATTCTCCTGCCTCAGTCTCCCGAGTAGCTGGGATTACAGGCACCTGCCACCATGCCCAGCTAATTTTTTGTATTTTAGTAGAGATGGGGTTTCACCATGTTGGCCAGGCTGGTCTCCAACTCCTGATTTCAGGTAATCTGCCCGCTTCGGCCTCCTGAAGTGCTGGGATTACAGGCGTGAGCCACCACGCCCAGCTGTAAATTCTTTGCTTTATTTAATAGCACCAGTTCTTTCATTCATCTACCCATTCAAGTGTTTTTTGTTTGTTTGTATGTTCGGTTTTTTTTTTTTTGAGACGGAGTTCGCTTTTTAGTTGCCCAGGCTGGAGTGCAATGATGCGATCTCGGATCACCACAACCTCCACCTCCTGGGTTCAAGAGATTCTCCTGCCTCAGCTTCCCAAGTAGCTGGGATTACAGGCATGCGCCACCACACCAGGCTAATTTTGTATTTTTAGTAGAGACGGGGTTTCTTCATGTTCGTCAGGCTGGTCTCGAACTCCTGACCTCAGGTGATCTGCCCACCCCATCCTCCCAAAGTGCTGGGATTACAGGCATAAGCCATCGGCCCCAGCTCATTCAAGTTTTAAACATTATTGAGGGCTTATGATATGTCAGGCACAATAGCATAGGTCACTTTATCCCCATTTTTAGAAAAAAGCCTCACAGAGGCTGAGTGATTTGTCAAAGTGACAAAGCTTATAGTGATGGAGAATGTTGGTTCATGGTATTCCTTGCTCTTCATGAAATCTGTCATGGGCCTGAGTACCTTGTTTGGACATGTGTTTTTGTCCTGCCTGCATTCTTTGAGGTTAAGGCTGTCTTACACAGCTGGAATCCCCCTTGGTGCGTGAAACCATCTGCTGTAGTGGACACACTATAGCGTTGTTGATGGATTGTTCATATGGCCAAATCCTTGCCACCTTTCCCTCAAGACCTGTCTCTCCTTCCCAAACCCAGGAAAAAAATCACCCAAATAAAAACTAAGCTGACTTGATCTGGAGGAGGGGGTAATTTATTTAATTTGTTGACTCTGGCTTACAATTTTGTCTTCTGTTTCCATATCTGGGTCATTAGAAGCCCCTTCAATCCCATCATCCCTTTTCCCTTCAAATCAGGGCAACTCAGAGATAGCTTTCTTGGCTGGGGGGCCTGTTGGCTTTTCCTTTTCTCTCGCTTTTTCCTCATACATCAGGATCCTGGTTGAGATGGGAAGAGGCACAGGGATCAGGGAACACTCCTCTCAAGGGAATAAATCATAGGGTGCTAGGAAAGGCTAGAAGGGGATGGGGATGTGAGGGTGGAAGGGGGAAGAGGAAGGGCAGGGGTTGGAGTTTCTGGGGACCAGGACTATGGATAGGGATGGGGTCGGGACCTTGGAAGGGTCCCTCTAAGGATGGAAGAAGGGATGATGGGCAACGTGTAGAAATGTTGAGCCTGTGGACAAGGGTAGGGATGGGGGAGGAGAAAACAGGTAAGTACAGGGGAGGTTGGAAATTGACACTCACATTTTTAGGATGGCAGATCTCTTGCCCAGCATCATCCTGAGAAAGTCAGGGTAGCTGAACGTCTCCCCGGAGCCACTGGACACCTCTCCAATTAATTTCTTTAGCTCTAGGTGAGTCTTGGGGACTCCAAGTTTCTCCAGCATTCGTTTCAGGGACATGATATCTGGGGGCAGAGGATGGGGATGGGGAGAAGGTGGGGAGACCCTCTCTCTCCTCTCCCACTTCCGCATCCCCATTCTCCTTCCTCCCACTGTGGTAGGTGGGCCCCCTCCCAAATCATGAGGAATGGAGCATGTAGGAGAGACCTCTGTCTTCTTAGGCCTGCACACCACCCTGCCCCCGCAAATCACCCGTTTCTCACCAATATCGCCATTTCCATTAAGGTCAAACTCCATGTATTTCTCTGGGTGAGGGGAGAGAGCAGAAGGGATAAGCGCTGACTCGAGGGTTTTCAGCCGGGGACTGAGGAAGGGGTTGCCAACCAACTGCTAGGTGGAGGAGACAACGTGGAAGGAGGAGGAGGGGCAGGCAGAGGAAGTGGGGTTGGGGAGTTGAGGGGCCCCGCTAGGGTGTAAGGAGCTAGAGGGGATGCTGAGAGAGGCAGGCCCGGGAAAGGGACCGCAGTGTGGCAGGAGGGCAATAAAGGCAGGTTCCCCTTTTGCTACCACAAAAGTAAACTTTTTATCTCTGCTGTTCCTGCCTTGTTCTTGTGGAAATCCTAACCCTCCTACCCCCAGCCCTGTCTCCACCGCCTACAGTTTCCCCCTCACCTTTGAAGCCTTCCAGTTTGGAGGGCAGATCCTCATCACTGCTATATTTGGGATCGTCTAGGAATTGCTATGGAGGGGAAAATAAGAGCCAGGGTAGGCCCTCCCCATCCACGCCCCATCCCCCTGGCTCTGCCCCCTTAGTTCTTCCTTCTACCTTGTTGATCTCATCCAGCCTCTCTTCCTGCTGGGCCTTCAGCAGTCCGAAAGCTTTTCCTCCTGTGGGGTGAAAAAAATTAATCAGCCCTCATCCCTCCCTTCCTCTCCTTACCCTGACACCAGCCCGGGCTACCCTAGGCCAGCTGACTGCCCTCCTAGCCCACAGCCCAGGTCTGTCCATCTCATTCCTCCGATCTAATGCTGCTGCCTATCCCACCCTCCCTACCCTGTAAATCCCTGGTTTGGCTCATAGCTCAGCAGATGCTGGTAGAGGTGGGGAGACAGACCAAGCTGGAGGCCTCTGTCTGCAGGCTCTCCTTCTCTCCCACCAGTCTTCTCAGAAGCCTTCCTCCCAAACTTCCCCTTTCCCCTCATTCCTTCCTCCTCTGCCTCCCAGACCTCACTTCCCCATCAGGTTCTGCTGACACTAGCACCCCAGGAAGGAGGGGGAGCCTGGTGTGAAATGCAGATTAGAAAATAACATTCTCCCAAATTCCTCTTAAATGAGAGCCCAGTGTGCGCATGAAACAAATATTTTGATAAGCCACTGGAGGTGTGCAGGAAGGGCAGGAAGACACCAGGGATATTTATTCTCAGGAACTAGTATTTTTGAACAGGTCCAAGGTTCAGGTAATGATAAGACCTTGCATTTTGTCAGGTTTCATGAGTCTGGGCAGGCAGCTGTGGATAGGAAGACAAGGAAGGGCTGGCTGAATTTTTCTGCTCTGTAGATCGGAGAAGAATCTGAAGTCTGCTGGCAGCTCCAGGAGGGTGACAAGATGGGCACAGGGTTTAGAAAGGGAGAGAAACCTCACTCCCAGCCTGGCAGCTCCAAGGAGGCCCTTAAAAATATGGAAATGTCTAACAAAACATTTTAATTTGTTTGCTTTAGAATGTGCAACGTAACCCTCTCATCTTATCTCCTTTGAAATCTTTAGTAAAATCTATAGAGATCAGGAATTTAAGAGTTTAAGTAGATTCTTTGGAGGAACTGAAAGTGGTACTTAAAGAAACAGCGTTTGTGGACAGAAGAGCCAGGGAGTGAGGCTGACATCAGGTTTGCACACTGCGCGTGCGTGCACACATGCAGGCATGTTTGTGTGATGGTGGTGCTGGTCACTGTGGGTTCAACAGAGTGGATGATAGCCTCTGACACATGCCTCCCTAGGCATAACCTTTATCCCCTCTGTCACTCTGTTTGGCCAGTCGCTTCTTGGAGAGGTGAGGACAGCACATTTCCCTCATTGAGATTTCCTGGTCCAAACTCCCTGCCCAGGGCTCCATCTACCCTGCCCCGGCATTGATGAAGACACCTTTCCTTCTCCCTTCCCCCCAACATATTTCCTTTTCTGTAGCTGGGAGTTTTCACTTCTCACTGCCCTCTCCCTGACCCAAGCCAGGTAGGGGAGATGCTGGAGTGGCCTCTGGCTGCTGCTGCTGCTTTTTTTTTTTTTTTGAGTTGGAGTCTTGCTCTGTCGCCCAGGCGGGAGTGCAATGGTGCAATCTCGGCTCACTGCAACCACTGCCTCCTGGGTTCAAGCAATTCTCCTACCTCAGCCTCCTGAGTAGCTGGGACTACAGGCGCCCACCACCACGCCCAGCTAATTTTTGTATTTTTAGTACAGATGGGGTTTCGCCATGTTGGCCAGGATGGTCTCTATCTCTTGACCTTGTGATCCACCCACCTCAGCCTCCCAAAGTGCTGGGATTACAGGCATGAGCCACTGCACCTGGCTGGACTCTGGCTTCTTGACTTCCCTTTATTGCAGCTACATTCTCCTGCTGCAGAGAGAGCTGCAACCCTGTACTCCCAATGTTCTCAGTGCCTGCTGGGAGGAACTCACTTCTTTATTCATACGTTCACTCAACAGATATTTACTGAATGCTTACTATATGCCAGACATGCCTCTAGGCCCAGAGAACCCAACAAATGAAAACTCTTGTCTTCATGGTTGATCTAATTGGGGAAGGCAGACAATACAAATAAATAAGTATATTAAAGGTGCTAGGTGGCCAGGCGCAGTGGCTCACGCCTGTAATCACAGCACTTTGGGAGGCTGGGGCAGGCGGATCACAAGGTCAGGAGTTGGAGACCAGCCTGACCAACATGGTGAAACCCCATCTCTACTAAAAATACAAAAATTAGCAGGGCCTGGTGGTGCGTGCCTGTAATCCCAGCTGCTCAGGAGGCTGACGCAGGCGAATCGCTTAAACCCGGGAGGCAGAGGTTGCAGTGAGCTGAGATCGCGCCATTGCACTCCAGCCTGGGCAACAGAGTGAGACTCCGTCTCAAAAAAAAAAAAAAAAAAAAAAGGCGCCAGGTGCCTATGGAGGAAAACAAAGTAGGGAAGAGGGGACATAGGAGTATTATTGCCAATGGTCCCCAGTTTTTTGTTTTTTGTTTTTTGTTTTTTTTTTAAACGGAGTCTCACTCTGTCGCCCAGGCTAGAGTGCAATGGCTTGATCTCAGCTCACTGTAACCTCCGCCTCCTGGGTTCAAGCGATTCTCCTGCCTCAGCCTTCCGAGTAGCTGGGATTACAGCCACCTGCCATCATACCTAGCTAATTTTTGTATTTTTGTAGAGGCGGGGTTTCACCATGTTGACCAGGCTGGTCTTGAACTCCTGACCTTAGGTGATCTACCCACCTCGGATTCCCAAAGTGCTAGGATTACAGGCGTGAGCCACTGCACCCAGCTTTTTTTGTTGAGACAGAATCTCGCTCTGTTGCCCAGGCTGGAGTGCAGTGGCACAATCTCAGCTCACTGCAACCTCTGCCTCCCGGGTTCAAGCGATTCTCCTGCCTCAGCCTAACGAATAGCTGGGATTACAGGCGATCACCACTACACCCGGCTAATTTTTGTATTTTTAGTAGAGATGGGGTTTCACCAAGTTGGCCAGGCTGGTCTTGAACTCCTAACCTTGTGATCCTCCCACCTTGGCCTCCCAAAGTGCTGGGATTACAGGTGTGAGCCTGACTTGTCCCCAGTTTTAAATATGGTGGTCTGGCCAGACACGGTGGCTTACGCCTGTGGTCCTAGCCACTTGGGAGGCTGAAGTGAGAGGATCGCTTGAGCCCAGGAGATCAAGGCTGCAGTGAGCCATGACTGTGCCATTACACTCCAGTCTGGGCAACAGAGTGAGACCCTGTCTCAAAAAATACAATAAAATAATAAAATAAATAGAGTGGTTAGAGAAGCGTTCTCTGAAAAAGTGATATTTGAGCAAAGATTTCTTTTCTTTTTTTTGAGATGGAGTCTCACTCTGTCACTCAGGCTAGAGTGCAGTGGTGCAATCTCCACTCACTGCAACCTCCACCTCCCGGGTTCAAGTGATTCTCCTGCCTCAGCCTCCAGAGTAGCTGGGATTACAGGCACCTGCCACCACGCCCAGCTGGATAATTTTTTGTATTTTTAGTGAGACGGGGTTTTACTATGTTGGCCAGGCTGGTCTTGAACTCCTGATCTCATGATTCGCCCACCTCGCCCTCCCAAAGTGCTGGGATTACAGGTGTGAGCCACCACGCCTGGCCGTTTGATCAAAGATTTTAAGCAAGCAAAGGAACAAGCCTCTGTCTTCCTAGGCCTGCACACTTCCCCAAATCACCTTTTTTCACTGATATCTCTGTTTCCATTCTGGTCAAACTTTATGTATTTCTTTGGGTAAAGAGAGAGAACAGACAGGGTAAGCACTGGCTAGAGGGTCTTTGGCAGAGGATCGAGGAAGGCATTGCCAACCAAGTGCTAGGTTGAGGAGAGGATGTGGAAGGAGGAGATGGGGCAGGCAGAGTGGGCTTGGGGAGTTGAGGGACCATGTAAGGTGGATATACGGCTAGAAAGAAAAATACTTATTTTTTTTTTTTTGAGACAGAGTCTCCATCTGTCGCTAGACTGGAGTGCAGTGGCGCGATCTTGGCTCACTTCAACCTCCACATCCTGGGTTCAAGCGACTCTCCTGCCTCAGCCTCCCAAGTAGCTGGGACTACAGGTGCGCACCACCATGTTCAACTAATTTTTGTAATTTTAGTGGAGACGAGGTTTCACCATGTTGGCC